>NC_000014.9:75217773-75369288 GCF_000001405.40 Homo sapiens
TTGCACCTCAAGGTTTAGCCGGTGGGCTTCTGTTCTATTTTCTGCCCTTCTCAGTGGACTCACCTTTACATGGAAGACTTCCACATTTAGTTCTTGAGCTCATATTCTCACCTAAGATCCAACCCTTCAGCTCCAACAACTTCATAAACATTTTCCACTGGGATGCCCTGATCACCTCATGTCCTGAGTCATTGTCTTCCAGACCAACCCAGCTCCCACTCACTCACTTAGTGTCCTCTTCCATTAGAGGCAGTACCATTTTTTTCAAGCCTTCTGTCTCAAAATGCCATACTAATCCCAAATTAGCATCCACGTACTATGAGTGTATCCACAGCAACTACTACACTGCAGGGCACATTTGAAGGGCTCAGTGGAGGCTTGTCGAATCAAAGCAGCTCTTGGGAAGAGAGTCAAAGGAGGAGGACATGCAATAGCATTTTACCAGAGGCTCAAGATACCCAAGTAAATACCCAGGATTTGCAGGGAGAAGTAAAGCAAAGACCTGGCAAGTGTTATCACTGCAGCCATAGTTAATTCAAATGTTCATGGATGCAACTTCAACTATAGACATTTGACCACCTGTTAGTTAAATGAACCAGAATGTTATTAAATTTTTAGTTCACTTTGTCTTGTGTTGATATACTTTCAGGCATGGTCAAGCTTCCAGACAATTACAAGGGTTAACATAACAAATATGGATCCTATTCTTTTGTTTTATTTGCCAGATTCCTGACAGAAGAGTCTATGTCTAATTACCAAGTGCTCGGAATCAGAGCAAAGCTAGTGGCCAGAATCCAGATTTTTCTCCTTCCATCCCCTATCCTTTCCCATATGCTTTTTTTTTTTCCTTAAAAATACGAAAAGTGGCTGGAACGGTGGCTCACACCTGTAATCCCAGCACTCTGGGAGGCTGAGGTGGGCAGATCACTTGAGGTCAGGAGTTTGAGACCAGCCTGGCCAACATGGTGAAACCCTGTCTCCACTAAAAATACGAAAATTAGCTGGGTGCGGCAGTGAGCGCCTGCAGTCTCAGCTATTCAGGAGGATGAGGCAGGAGAATCACTTGAACCCTGGAGGTGGAGGCTGCAATGAGCCCAGAGCACGCCAATGCACTCCAGCCAGGGCTACAGAGTGAGACTCTGTCTAAAAAAAAAAAAAAAAAAAGTACTTGTGGCCAGGCACAGCAGCTCATGCCTGTAATCCCAGCACTCTGGGAGGCTGGGCAGGAGGAGGATTGCTTGAACCCAGCCTGGGCAACATAGTGAGACCCCATCTCTATAAAAAATAGAAAATTAGCGTGATGTGATGGTGCGTGCCTGTAGTCCAAGCTACTCAGGAGGTAGAGGCCAGAGGATAGCTTGAGCCTAGAAGGTTGAGGCTGCAGTAAGCCATGATCATTTCACTGCACTCCAGCCTGGACGACAGAGTGAGAGAGACCCTGCCTCTAAACTAAAAAAAAAAAAAAAAAAAAACTACCTATAGCATAATAGCTTTTAAAAGTCTTTTTGAAGTAGGCTGGGCACGGTGGCTCACGCCTGTAATCCCAGCACTTTGGGAGGCCAAGGTGGGCAGATCACGAGGTCAGGAGATCGAGACTATCCTGGCCAACATGGTGAAACCCTGTCTCTACTAAAAATACAAAAATTAGCTGGGTGTGGTGGCACGTGCCTGTAATCCCAACTACTCGGGAGGCTGAGGCAGGACAATCTCTTGAACCAGAGAGTCGGAAGTTGCAGTGAGCTGAGATCGTGCCACTGCACTCTAGCCTGGGTGACAGAGCAAGACTCCGTCTCAAAAAAGAAAAAAAAAAAGAAATAGAAATATACCATGTTTTTGGTAGGAGCCAGCAGTTTGGAAACATTGCTCATATTCTTTAGGAAAATCCTTCTCCCAGTGGATCTTCCAGATATCCCCAAGTCTTGGGATTCCCTAGTGCCCCCTTTCTTTGCATCTATTAAGTACAGGGCACACCTTAGACCAGGGTTTCCCAATCTCTGCATTATTGGCATTTAGGGCTGGTTAATTATTTGGTAGGGTCAGGAGGAGCTGTGTGCTATCCTGAGCATTGGAGGATGTTTACTGGATGCTAGTAGCACACAGTTGTGATGACCCAAGATGTCACTAGACATTGCCAAATATAACCTGAGGGGTAAATTGCCCATGCACTGCACTTGATTCTTTTACTCAGAAATGAACATGGAGCAATTTACGTGCACCGGTAAAATGCGGCTACTCTCGGAGTCCCTTTGGGCCATACCCCAGCCAGGGAAGTTCCCAGAGATGGGAGCAGAGGATTATCTCCAGGCAGTGCTCAAGGTGAGACATGAAAGCCCAATCAATCAAGGAAACTCTAATTGGAACCATTACCTTACCTAAGCAGACTCTCTTTTGGAAGCTCACCCTGCACGCAGGTAGGTGCCTCTGGGATCTTTTGCCTTCCTCAGGAGGTATGGGATGGAGGGTGCTGGAGAGGGAAGGTTGGCCGGCTTCCGAGACACAATTAGAATGGCCTGAGTCAGCAGAGCTGCTCTAGGCCTTGGGGATTTCCATGGGGAACTGTGTGGACAGAATTCCCCCGGGATGGTGGTCTAGACAGGGCTCACCCTTCCCTCTGCTCACCAGGAGCTTCTGCTTCCCCTTTAGGAAGAGGAAACACCCTGGCTGTTTATTTCGGGGCTGTAGGATCTGTTGTGAATGAGCCCCAGGATGGGCCGCAGGATGTCTTTCTTCCCTGGTGAGACATTTTAGGAAGTGCACCGAGCTGGCAGCAGCCGTGCGAGATGGAAGTGGTGTGCCACGTGGGCAGGTGCACCAGCAGAGCAATTAGTGAAACAAAGGAAGGAGAATGCCTGAGATTAAGTCCAGCAACTAAGAAAATGTAATTTATTTTATTTTATTATTATTGTTTTTTGAGACGGAGTCTTGCTCTTGTCACCCAGGCTGGAGTGCAGTGGTGTCATCTCCATTCACTGCAACCTCCGCCTCCCAGGTTCAAGTAATTCTCCTGCCTCGGCCTCCCGAGTAGCTGGGATTACAGGCACCCACCACCTTGCCCGGCTAATTTTTGTATTTTTAGTACAGATGGGGTTTCACCATGTTGCCAGGCTTGTCTCGAACTCCTGACCTCGTGATCTGCCAGCCTTGGCCTCCCAAAGTGCTGGGATTATAGGCGTCAGCCACCGTGCCCGCCCAGAAAATGTAAATGTAACTCAAAAGCAGATTAGAATCCTTGTTAACTTTCCTTATCTTAAAAAGCAATCTGCTTGTTAAAAAAATTAATTTAATTTAGAAAAACTGCAAAGTGGCCGGGTGTGGTGGCTCACGCTTGTAATCCTAGCACTTTGGGAGGCCGAGCGGGCGGATCACGAGGTCAATATATCGAGATCATCCTGGCCAACATGGTGAAACCCTGTCTCTACTAAAAATACAAAGAGTAGGCTGGGCGTGGTGGCTCATGCCTGTAATCCCAGCACTTTGGGAGGCCAAGGCGGGTGGATCACGAGGTCAGGAGATTGAGACCATCCTGGCCAACATGGTGAAACCTCATCTCTACTAAAAATACAAAAATTAGCTGGGCATGGTGGTGGCACACACCTGCAGTCCCAGCTACTCAGGAGGCTGAGGCAGGAGAATCACTTGAACCCGGGAGGCAGAGGTTGCAGTGAGCCGATATCGTGCCACTGCATTCCATCCTGGGTGACAGAGCGAGACTCGGTCTCAAAAAAAAAAAAAAAAAAGAATGATCTTTACTATCACTCTTATACAAATTCTCCCCATGCTGAGGGTTTCAGGGAGAGATCAGAATCATGGAAGATTTTGAGCACTTTGAAAGAAAGATATTTTAGAAGTTCTTTAGTTGTAATATTTTGCCCTTTTGGGAAAAAACACATTGCAGAAAATACAGAAAAATCACAGATAAATATAATTCACAATTCTGCCACCTAGAGAAAATCTACCTTTAACATTGTAATGTCTGTTTTTTAGTCTTTCTATACATATACATACTTACAAAATATGACATACGTGTGTATATATACATACATATACACATACGTATACATATATAACTTTTAAAAATGTTAGCACTTGTGCTGTCTGGGGAGCCAGGAGGGAGACAGTGGGGAGAGCCACTTTTAGGTGGCCTGGCCCCTGCTCTCTGACTCTAGTTATAGGAGATCCGGAAGCATTTCCCCAAGTACAAGCCAAGGCAAGTTCCTGGGGCCCTGTCTGTTCATTGAATCACTGGACCAGGGGAGGAGCCATGAGCAGAGAGCCCCCAGTCTCTGGGGGTCCTGCCTCCCTGGATCCCACATAAACAGAGGAGCAGCACCCACAGCCTCCTACTCTTCCTGCTCCCTTCTCATTCTTACCCTTTTTTGGGGAAGTCCAGGACCCCAAGAATCCTGGGTCTCACTCATCCCCTAAAAAAACCTTAGCCCTGGGGCAACGATTTCCCTATTGTCCCAGCCCCACCTGCGGGGAGTACCAAAAGTACAAGAATTACCCAACCAGTGAGTGGGTCAATCGGGTTCTCCCTGGGGAGTATGACACTCCCCGACGAGCAAGGGAAGTACACTCACTCCCCAGGACGGCTCCGCAGACGCAGACCGAAGCTTATGGTGGGAGGGTGCATTCTAGGAAGAGGAAATGGGTAAGGACATTCACTATGCATTAGCTCACCACTGACCCTTCATGCACCTTCTCATTTAACTTTGAAATGAAATGCTCAGGATGTTATTGTCATGGCCATTTTACAGACGAGGAACCTGAGGCTGGTGCTGAAGCTTCTGAAGTAAAACTGTGTGAGCTTGGCTGACTCCACCTGGTGTCATGTATGCCCACACTGCTGTTCACTAGCTGGAACCCCCGACTGCCTCCTCCCCGTCACTGGTGCCCCTTAGTCTGTAAGAGTGGCCTTCCTTCTCTCAGGAATCATCCTTGACTCTTTCCCTCAGCTCCACATCGAATCCGTCAGCAAGACCCATCCACTCTGCCTCCAACACATCTCCTGTGTCTTCCATTTCTCTCCATCTTTGCTGCTCCTACCTGGCCTAAAACACCATCATTCTTTCCTAAACTTTTGCAATTGCCTTTTCATTGGTCTTCCTGCCACCACATGCCTTATTTTCCACACCACAGCCAAAATGATCTTTTATTTTTTAAAAAGTATTTTTATTTATTAAATTTTTTTGACACTGAGTCTTGCTGTCGTCCAGGCTGGAGTGCAGTGGTGTGATCACAGCTCATTGCAACCTTGACCTTTTGGGCTCAAGTGATCCTCCTGCCTCAGTCTTGCAAGTAGGTGGGACGACAGGCATGTGCCCAGCTAATTTTTTTTTTTTTTTTTGAGACAGAGTCTCGCTCTGTCACCCAGGCTGGAGTGCAATGGCATGATCTCTACTCACTGCAACCTCCACCTGCCAGGATTAAGCGATTCTCCTGCCTCAGCCTCCTGAGTAGCTAGGACTACAGGTGTGCGCCACCACACCCAGCTAATTTTTATTTTTGTATTTTTAGTAGAGACAGGGTTTCACCATATTGGCCAGGATGAAATCGACCTTGTGATCCGCCCACTCGGCCTCCCAAAGTGCTGGGATTACAGGCGTGAGCCACTGCGCCTGGCCCCAGCTAATTTTTTATTTTGTTTTTTTTGTAGATACAGGGTCTGATATATTGCACAGGCTGCAAAATGATTTTTTTTTTCTTTTGAGATGGAGTCTCACTCTGTCATCCAAGCTGGAGTGTGGTGGCACGATCTCTACTCACTACAACCTCTACCTCCCAGGCTCAAGTGATTCTCCTGCCTCAGTCTCCTGACTAGCTGGGATTACAGGCACGTGCCACCACACCTGGCTAATTTTTGTATTTTTAGTAGAGATGAGGTTTCACCGTGTTGGCCAGGCTGATCTCAAACTCCTGAACTCAAGGGATCCACCTGCCTCAGCCTCCCAAAATGCTGGGATTGCAGGCATGTGCCACCGCACGTGGCCTGCAAAATGATCTTTTAAACAGATTGTATCACTCCCCTGCAAAGCCTCCAATGGATTCCAGACAAACCTTCAACAAAACCCTTAATCCCTACAGGATGTGGCCTCTGCTTGCTTCTCAGACCTCACTCCTGCCACTTCCCCCACCCCCACACTCTAGCCACACTGCCTTTCTCTCTGTTCCTCAAACAGTCAAGCTGGCTCTGCCTTAGGGACACTGCAGTTGCTATTCTTTCCATCTGGACTGCTTTTCTCACTCAGTTTCCCACGGCTGGTTCCTTCTTGCCATTCAAGACGCAGTATAAAGGTCACCTTCTCAGAGAGGCTCTCCCTAACCACCTGTTCTAAGTAGCCACTTAATCACTTGCTATCACATTCACCTGTTTTAATTATTTGCATACCACTTATCACTATGGGGTTTTTTCTTTCTTTCTTTCTTTTTTTTTTTTTTGCCCCAGGTAATCTGCAGTAATGTGCTCTTTAAAATTTTGTCATTTTGGCGGGGTGCAGTGGCTCACACCTATAATCCCAGCACTTTGGGAGGCCAAGGTAAGTGGATTGCCTGAGCTCAGGAGTTCGAGAGCAGCCTAGGCAAAATGGTGAAACCCTACCTCTACTAAAAATACAAAAATTAGCCAGTGTGGTGGTGCAAGCCTGTAATCCCAGCTACTTGGAAGGTTGAGGCAGGAGAATTGCTTGAACTCAGGAGGCGGAGTTTGCAGTGAGCTGAGATCGCACCACTGCACTCCAGCCTGGGTGACAGAGTGAGACTCTGTCTCAAAAAAATAAAAAAATTAAAATTTTGTCATTTATTCATTCATTCATTTGTTCATTCCTGTGTCCTTCCACTAGAATCTATCCCCAATGCCTAGAAGAGTGTCTGGTATATAGTGGCTGCTCGATAAGTATTTGTTGAATGAATTTTTGAATGAATGAATCACATTTTTCCTTGATTAATTCAGTTAACAATTTTCATCTGTTGGGGCCAGATACTAAGCTAAAGGCCATGAGAAACATAAACAAGACACATCAGCTCTCAAGAAGTGTTTGATTCATGATGTCTGAGATGTACTTTTAAATAATGCAGAAAAAAAAGGAGGACAGATGAAATACAACTGGCCAAATGTTGATGACTATCGAGGTAGCATGATGGAAAAGGGGGGTTATTACATTATTTTTTGACTTTTGTGTATCTTTCAAAATGTACATAATAAAAAGGTATTTTTGGCCAGGTGCGGTGACTCACACCTGTAATCCCAGCACTTTCGGAGGCTGAGGCGGGAGGATCACTTGAGGTCAGGAGTCCCAGACCAGTCTGGCCAACATGGTGAAACCTCGTCTCTACTAAAAATACAAAAATTAGCCAGGCGTGGTGGCGGGCGCCTGTAATCTCAGCTACTCGGGAGGCTGAGGCAGGAGAATTGCTTGAACCTGGGAGGCAGAGGTTGCAGTGAGTCGAGATGGCATCACTGCACTCCAGCCTGGGCAACAGAGCAAGACTCCTGCTCAAAACAAAACAAAACAAAACAAAACAAAAAGGTATTTTAAAATTTTTATTTAAAAAGCAGCTATGGCTAGGCATGGTGGCTTATTCCTGTAATCCTAGCACTTTGGGAGGCTGAGGCGGGTGGATTGCTTGAGCTCAGGAGTTTGAGACCAGCCTAGGCAGCATGACAAAGCCCTGTCTTTACAAAAAATACAAAAAATTAGCTGGGTGTAGTGGCATGCTCTTGCAGTCCCTGCTGCTCAGAAGGCTGAGGGTGAGAGGATTGCTTGAGCCCAGGAGGTCGAGGCTGCAGTGAGCCAAGAATGTGCCACTGCACTCCAGCCTGGGCAACAGAGTGAGACCCTGTCTCAAAAAAAAAAGAAAAAAAAAAGGCAGCTTATGATCAAGATGGGGAAAAGTATGTATATACAAATAACCATTTTGCTGAAGATTGCTGAGAGTGGTATAAATGGAGAAACTTGTTAGTGAATAAACATTTTTGAGCATCTGGTATGCCTAGGCACTGTGCTAAGCACTAGGGATAGAATGATAACAAGACACGCACAGGGCTGGGCATGGTGGCTCACACCTGTAATCCCAGCACTTTGGGAGGCCGAGGAGGGCGGATCACCTGAGGTTAGGAGTTCGAGACCAGCCTGGCCAACATGGTGAAACTCTATCTCTACTAAAAATACAAAAAAAATTAGCCAGGAGTGTGGTGCACGCCTGTAATCCTAGCTACTCAGCAGACTGAGGTGGGAGGATTGCTTGAGCCTGGGAGGCAGAAGGTGCAGTGAGCCGGATTTGTTCCACGGCACTCCAGCCTGGGTGACAGAGCGAGAATCTATCTCAAAAAATAAAAATAATAAAAAGTAGCCAGCTGCAGTGGCTCATGCCTGTAATCCCAGTACTTTGGGAGGCTGAGGCGGGCGGATCACCTGAGGTCAGGAGTTCGAGACCAGCCTGACCAGCATGGAGAAACCCCCGTCTCTACTAAAAATACAAAATTAGCTGGGTGTGCTGGCGCATGCCTGTAATCCCAGCTACTCAGGAGGCTGAGGCAGGAGAATCACTTGAACCTGTTAGACAGAGGTTGTGGTGAGCCGAGATCGCGTCATTGCACTCTGGCCTGCACAACAAGAGCGAAACTCCGTTTAAAATAATAATAATAATAATAATTAAAAAGATACACACAGTCTCTTCTTTCATGCAGTATAGAGTCCAGCAGAGCCGGGAGACACAACTGAATAAAAGGTCACACACAGAATGCCAATAGAGAGCGCTCACATGGTCTGGGGTCAGGAAAGTGAGGTGGGTGAAGGGTGAGCAGGACAGCCTTCCAGACAGAAGGAACAGCATGCACAATGGCTGAGCAGCATGGAACAGCCTGGCACATGTCAGGAGCCCAGAGAAGGCCAGCATTCTAGGGCAGACAGAGCAAAGAGGTGAGTGGGAAGAGAGAAGGTGAGACTAGTGAGTAGAAGCTAGACCGACCCCATAGGGATATAAAGGTCCTGTTCAACATTCGAGACTTGATCCTCCACTGCTTCAGGAGGATGCAGGAAGGATTCTTGAGGCAGATGGTCTAGGAACCAGGCCCTGAAGGTTGGTGAGAATTGCAACAGGGAAAGGTAGCCCCAAAAGGTATTCCAGGTGAAGGTAACAGAGTGAACTCTGATCCAGAGGGACAGAGTCCAAGGTGCTGAGGAAATAGAGTGGCCTGGCATGGGAGGAGCCTGGCAGGGGTGGTGCATGCAGGGGTGTAGGGGGCAATAAGCCTAGATAGCAAGGTCAGAGACAACACCAGACATGGCATGCTAAGGAGTTTGGACTTTATGCCACAGACAATGGGGAGCCACTGAAGATTTTTTGATTATTAGAGAGATAGGACCAGAGCTGGCCCTTAGGAAGGTTGGATTTGGTGGGGAAATCAGGCAGGAGAATACTATTTATTTATATGAGAGGCAACATGGGTTTGATTTTAATACTCAACAATGTAATGAGTGCATGGTACCTGCCAATACTGAAAACTGGAGGGGCAAAGAGAAAAAAGGGACTGCCCCTGTCCTGTCCCATGGAGCTCGTAGATGACTAAACTGACAATGATGATACAGTGTGATGTGGTAGTGATATGACCAGCATGTTATGGGTGCCCTTAAGAAAGGGGGCCACTGAGGCTGGGCACGGTGGCTCACACTTGTAATCCCAGCACTTTCGGAGGCCGAGGCAGGTGGATGGCTTAAGTCTAGGAGTTCAAGACCACCCTGGGCAACATGGTGAAACCCCGTCTCTACAAAACATTTACATATTTGCTGGGCATGGTGACACGTGCCTGTAGTCCTGGCTACTTGGGAGGCTGTCATGGGAGCATTGCTTGAGCCCGGGAGGTTGAGGCTGCAGTGAGTTGAGATCGTGCCACTGCACCTAGCCTGGGTGACAGAGCAAGACCTTGTCTCAAAAAAATAAAAGAAAGGGGGCCACTGAGGCTGGGCACGGTGGCTCATGCCTGTAATCCTAGCACTTGGGGAGGCTGAGGTGAGCAGATCACCTGAGGTCGGGAGTTCGAGACCAGCCTGACCAACATGGTGAAACCCTGTCTCTACTAAAATATACAAAAAATTAGCCAGGTGTGGTGGCATTTGCCTGTAATCCCAGCTACTCAGGAGGCTGAGGCAGGAGAATCGCTTGAACCCAGGAGGTGGAGGTTGCAGTGAGCTGAGATTGTGCCATTGCACTCCAGCCTGGGCAACAAGAGTGAAACTCCGTCTCAAAAAAATAAAAAAAGAAAAGAAAAGAAAAGAAAGGGGGCTACTGAACTCAGCCTGAAGTGGGGCAGCGGTCAGCAAAGTCTTGTGAATGAATGGTGAGTTACCAGGAAAAAGGGTGAAGAACAGTATTCCAGGCAGCAGCTGCACGTGTAAAAAGCATGGAGTGGTGAGAGCAGAGTGGCTCAGCCTGGGCTGAGGATGAGGAAGCCGGTGCTGTGACTACAGAGGAAGCCAGAAAGAAAGCAGGGGACAGACCACGAGGACTTTGCATGTCATACTAGTTTGTTTCTTATCATTAAAGCCATGGATCCCTCCTCCCTAAATGAATAATCCCACCTTTTTCCCTTTGTTCCCACAGTCCTGGGAGGAGGAGTAGCTGTTTCCTGCAGTTGCTGCCTCAGTGATACCTCAGTGTTCTCTTTGTCATTTCACTTTCCAAGTTGAAGTTAACAATTCTTTTTTGTTTTGGACCTAGTAAACAATTCTTTATCTTAAATTGACCCTGTTACAATGTGTTACAATAGCTGGTGTGATTTCAGTTCCCCGTCTGGACCTTGACTGAGAAAGGGCCCTTGAGAGGTTTTTGTTTTTGTTTTTGAGACAGTTTCACTCTTGTTGCCAGGCTGGAGTGCAATGGCACAATCTTGGCTCACTGCAACCTCCGCCTCCCGGATTCAAGCGATTCTCCTGCCTCAGCCTCCCGAGTAGCTGGGATTACAGGCATGCACCACCACGCTCGGATAATTTTTGTATTTTTAGTAGAGACGGAATTTCTCCATGTTGGTCAGGCTGGTCTCAATCTCCTGACCTCATGATCTGCCCGCCTCAGCCTCCCAAAGTGCTGGGATTACAGGCGTGAGCTATCGCTCCTGGCTGAGAGATTTTTAAGTAAGAGGAGGCGTGCCGTCAGATTTACATTTTAGAAAGTTGTCTCTAGGGGCAATGGTGGAGAACAACGACTAGAAGCAAGGAGCCCACTGAGGCCGTGGTTCCCGTGTTACAGGGGAGATACAGCGGCAGCCAGAATGCAGAGGTGGAAGGTAGATGGGAAGGAGGGGATACAGTCAAGAGATACTAAGGAAATAGAATTAACAGAAGAGGGAGATCAAGAGATTTGCTTATGCTTCTGGGTTTGCAGGACATGCCATTTACTGGGGCACAGAATATAGAAGAATTAGGTGTGTGTCAAGAAGATCCATCATTCTGTTTTGTACACGTTAAGTCTAAGAACCACCAGGTGGAAATGGAGGCAGCTGTGTATGCAGATGTGTGGGCAGAAGAGCCAGGCAGATGGATTCGGAACTCAGCAGGGTATGGCTGTGGTTGAGGTCATGCAGAGAGCATGGTGGGTGGGGGCACTGACGGCAGAATCTCCTAGAACCCCAACATTTAGGAGATGAGCTGAGAAACAGGAACCCTAGATTATCTGGAAGAGAAGCTTGGGAACTACGAAAGTGTTCAGAGGGAGGATCAGGCAGGGCACTTGTCAGAACAACTGCAGTCTGGGTACTCAAAGGAAGGAAACTTCTCAAAGGTGTGTGTTTCAGGCATGCAGATACATATGCATTTTTAAAGTCATTCCTTCTCTTAAGTTTGGAATATTGAGGAAAAACTCTTTCACATCAACCCTGGTGCCACCAGGCGACCTGGCCCAACCCTTCACTGTTGTCCAAGTGCGTCAGGAGAAGCCACCTGGCCGGAAGGAGCCAGGTGGAGCAGAGGGCAGCCAGTCTTATAGTCAATAGTCAGTGATAAGGCCAGATGTGTGGCAATATCAAATAATCAAGAACTGGCGTCATCCCCAGACAGCATGCTTAACTGTCTTCAGTGAGGAGACAAGGAAGGGGTGGAGGGGTGTCTCAGATGCCTGGGAGGGGAAATGGGAGGGAGCTCGCATTTGTGGAGTGGGCCAGGCCCTGTGCTAGGCTCTTTCCATGTTATCTCCACTAACCCTCCCAACAGCCATGCCTGTTTCAAAGATAAGACAGATGGGGCTCCAAGAGGTTAAATAATGTGCCTCAGGTAGTAACTGAGTGACCTAGGATTTGAACCTGGAAGGCCAAAGGCCATGCTGTCTCAAGGGAGCCCTTGGTCACCAGTTCAGTCAATCTCCCTGGTGAAGGTCCGTGTGCTGTAAGTTTGGGCATGGATACAAACCTTCCCATTGAAGCTTGATATGAGTGATGGCTCAGCGCCCAATCAGCAGCCAGATTAGGTGTTCTCCATGAGTGGTTTGGTGCTAGCACTTGCTTCCAAACCACACTTCCTGTTCATCTTTCACACCTATTGTCTCACTGCTGGGTTTCTTGCCAAATGCCTCCCTTGCCACTCCCAGTATGGGGGCAGAGTGACTAGGGAACAGCTTACAATGAGGAGTCTGTCAGACCTCCTTACTTTGCAGACGTCCTAAACACCTGATGAGCAACCACCAACTACTGAGGAGAGCCAATTTGCACCCAATTTTTGAGACCCTAAAAGACACTCTTTGAGCCTGATTACAGGTCAAATACTGGTAATAGCTAAAGGGTGGCTTTCTGTGTGCTGAGCCTTGAATTGTCTGCCTAACATGCATTGTTTCATATAATTCTTAAAATAACCCCATGAGGTGAGTGCGATTATTACACCCATTTTGCCTACAAGGAAGCAGGCTGAGAGAAAAGTGTCTACACCCAGTAAGCACCAGGAATGTCTGAATCAAAGGCAGGGAGAGGTGCCTGCCAAGCCCCGCACTTCCTTTCTCTCCCTTCCCCTAAGGCCTTTGGCTTAGATACGCTGATCCTTGAGAAATCCCTCCTCTCTCTTCCTTCCTTCCTTCCTTCCTTCCTTCCTTCCTTCCTTCCTTTCTTTTTTCTTCCTTTCTCTCGCTCTCTCTCTTCTTCTTTCTTTTTTTTTCTGGAGTCTCGCTCTGTTTCCCAGGCGTGATCTTGGCTCACTGCAACCTCCACCTCCAGGGTTCCAGCAATTCTCTTGCCTCAGCCTCCTTAGTGGCTGAGACTATAGGAGTGCGCCACCACGCCCAGCGAAGTTTTGTATTTTTAGTAGACATGGGGTTTCACCATGTTGGCTAGTATGGTCTTGATCTCTTGAGCTTGTGATCCACCTGCCTCAGACTCCCAAAGTGCTGGAATTACAGACACGAGCCACCGCGCCCGGCCTATTCAGGAGCTTTTACCCCATAAATCTTCTTACACATAGAAAAATAAAAAGTTCTGTCCCTTGTTACAGGTATTTTATATTATCAGTGGCGCCAATAAGGTGGGTGCATGTGTGTGCACACATGCGTGTATATGGGTGTGTGTGCACACCTGCATGTATATGGGTGTGTGTGCACACATGCATGTATGTGTCTGTGTGTGTGCATACACATATGTGGGGGTGGAGTAGGAATCAGGCAAATCAACCTCATAGACCTGTTCCCTGTTTCTGGGGTCATATATGGCTACAGTGACTATGTTTCTGAACCACAGGCCAGGCCACATGTCCTGGCCATTGCAATGGTTGTTGAGGGGATATTACAACAGTGAAACTGATACCTGCCCATGAGATACAGAGGCTGTTGGCTAACAGTTCAGCAGATACACTGTAGCGTGCTTTGGAGACATTCTAAAGGCCTCTGAGAGAGACAATGTCTTGCCAAGAGTTGAGGCCTGAAACTTGACAGCTGCCCACAGCCCATTTAAGGGTTAGTGTTACTCGACACAATTTTAAAGACATTGTCATGGAGGATCTGATATTCTCAGAACATTCAAGAGAAATGTTATAGCCTAAAACCAGAGGGGAAATCTGAAACCATATCTTCTTTTAGGGGCTACTATAGAATTCATTAAATTAATAATTAAATCTATGTATGTACATACAAAATGTTATGGACAACTGAGCCAGCCCTACACACACACAAGATGTCAGAAAGATTACCTCTGGCCGGGCACGGTGGCTCACACCTGTAATCCCAGCACTTTGGGAGGCCAAGCTGGGTGGAACATCTGAGGTCAGGAGTTCGAGACCAGCCTGGTAAACATGGTAAAACCCTGTCTCTACTAAAAATACAAAAATTAGCTGGGCGTGGTGACTCCCGCCTGTAGTCCCAGCTACTCGGGAGGCTGAGGCACTAGAATCGCTTGAACCCAGGAGGCAGAGGTTGCAGTGAGCTGAGATCACACCACTGCACACCAGCCTGGGCAACAGAGTGAGACTTGGTCTAAAAAAAAAGAAAAGAAAAGAAAGAAAAAGAAAAAGAAAAGATTACCTCTGTTAAAAATACTCAGGCAGTAGAGATAGCAGCCAATTTTGGGTTTGCATGACATTAATTCAACAAGCATGTATTACTTCCTACCTATTAGCTCCCAGATACTTGGTACCACGCCCAAAGAAGACTGGGCCTGGGATTGCAGTGACAGTAGGGTGGCAGATGTGTGGGGGATAAGTATGATATGGTGTAGGGAGGGTTATAATACTGATGAGTGCAATGTGCTACAGAATCCAGAAGATGAAGAATTCTTGGGAGGGGTGGTGGTATTAGTTTCCTACTACTATGTAATAAATTACTACAATTTAGCAGCTTAAAGCAACAACAATGTATTATCTCACAGTTTCCATGTGTCAGGGGTACAGGTATGGCTGAACCAAGTCCTCTGCTCAGGGTCTCACAAGCTGACAATCAAGGTGTCTGCCGGGTTGCATTTCTTTCTGGAGGTTGAGGTCCTCTTCCAGGCTCACGTGATTGTTGGCAGAATTTAGTTTCTTGCATCTGTATGATTGAGGCCTTTGTTGTCTTGGCAGCTGTCACCAGGGGCCACTCTTATCAACTAGAGGCTTCCCTCAAGTCTTTGTCACATGGCCCACTTCACACATCCTCTCATAAGGTGGCAGCTTTCTTCTTCAAGACTAGCAGGAAATTCTCTTTGACTTCAGGGAGGATCCTAGTCCCTTTTTGTTTTCAGGGTTTTATTATTTATTTATTTTGAGATAGAGTTTTGCTCTTGTTGCCCAGGCTGGAGTGCAATGGTATGATCTTGGCTTGCTCCAATCTCTACCTCCTGGGTTCAAGTGATTCTCCCATGTCAGTCTCCTGAGTAGCTGAGATTACAGGCATGTACCACCATGCCCAGCTAATTTTGTATTTTTAGTAGAGATGGGGTTTTACCATGTTGGCCAGGCTGGTCTCAAACTCCTGACCTGAGGTGATCCACCTGCCTCGGCCTCCCAAAGTGCTGGGATTACAGGCATGAGCCAGCGTGCCTGGCTATTTATTTATTTTTGAGACAGGGTTTCACTCTGTCACCCAGACTGGAGTGCAGTGATGCGATCACAGCTCACTGCAGCCTCGAACTCCTGGGCTTAGGCCATCCTCCCGCTCAGCCTCCCAAGTAGCTGGGACTACAGGCATATGCCACCATGCCTGGCTAATTAAAACAATTTTTTCTTTGTAGAGATGGGGGTCTTCCTATGCTGCCTCAGCTGTTCTACAACCCCTGGGCTCAAGAGGTCCTCTTGCCTCCCAAAGTGCTGGGTTATAGGCATAAGCCATCATGCCTGGCCCCTAGTCCCTTTTTGAAGGTCTCCCCTAATTAGGACAGACCTAGCCAGACTAAACTCCCTTTTGATTAACCCAAAATCAGCTGATTAGGGACCTTAATTACATCTGCAAAATCCTTTTTACCATAATCAAGAGAGTGACATCCCATCATATTCACAAATGCTGCCAACACTCAAGGAGAGGGGATTATGTAAGATGTGTATACCAGGAGACAGAAATCTTGGAGGCCATCTTAGAATTCTGCATACCATGTGCGAGACGGGGAGAGGGAAGGGAAGGGGAAAGTGCCAGGGTGGGTAACCTTTGAGCTGAGTACTGAAGAATGAATTTAAGTTCTCTAGGCTGCCAAGAAGGGAGACAAGTGGGTAGGAGAAAGGGCAGAGAGGAAAGAACATTATGGAAAGAGAGATGGGGCCGGGTGCGGTGGCTCATGCCTGTAATCCCAGCACTTTTGGGAGGCTGAGGTGGGCGGATCATCTGAGGTCAGGGGTTTGAGACCCTGATGGCCAACATGGTGAAACCCTGTCTCTACTAAAAATACAAAAATTAGCTGGGCATGGTGGTGTGCACCTGTAATCCCAGCTACTAGGGAGGCTGAGGCAGGAGAACTGCTTGAACCCGGGAAGCGGAGGTTGCAGTGAGCAGAGATTGTGCCACTGCACTTCAGCCTGGGTGACAGGGAGAGATTCCATCTCAAAAAAACAGAAAAAAAAAAAAGAAAGAAAGAGAAAGTCAAGAACAAAGTTTCTTCATGAACAAAGGGCATGAAGAAACCTGTTCAGTAGCAGCGGGGCTGTTCAGTGGGGCCAATGTTCAGTGGGGATAGTGAGACCAGAGGTTGAAAGCCGGTAGAGAGTACAGAAAAGGTGGACAGAATACTAAGACAAAGTACCGTGTACTTTCAATAAGCTCTTGGTCTCAACTCTTGGTGACTGTACAAGGTAGGCCAAAGACAAAAACTGTCCAACGACAGAAATTTCACTTTGAAGTTCCCTCCACTCCATTTCTCCACCCCCTTCCTTCCTATCTCCTTTAGCAAAGTCCTTTCCTCAGAGATCTCCCCCACCCCACCCGCCACAGCCCCACAGCCCTGTCGGTCTAGCAGGGTGAGTAGCCGCACTGTCTCTGAACCCTTACGCCTGGACTTTGAAGGGGGAACAGATTCTTGCTTACTGAGTCAGCCTCGGCTGCTTCCTTTTTGTGCTTGAAGAAGCCAAAGAGTGAGCAGATTGGAGAGGACTAAAAGAAGCCAGAGATGCTGGTCAATTGACACAAAAATAAAGAGCTAAGGGAGAGGTTGAGAGAGGGAGAGCAATATCTATGGGTGTCTGGAATTTTTAAAGGGCTCAGAGGAGGAGGGGGCCGGGCGTGGTGGCTCACGCCTGTTATCCGAGCACTTTGGGAGGCCAAGGTGGGCAAATCACGAGGTCAGGAGTTTGAGAGCAGCCTGACCAACATGGTGCAACCCCGTCTCTACTAAAAATACAAAATTTAGCCGGGTGTGGTTGTGTGCCTGTAATCCCAGCTACTCAGGAGGCTGAGGCAGGAGAATCGCTTGAACCCGGGAGGCAGAGGTTGCAGTGAGCCAAGACCGCACCACTGCACTCCAGCCTGGCGACAGAGCAAGACTCTGTCTCAAAAAAAAAAAAATAATAAAATAAAATAAAATAAAAATACAAAAATTAGCTGGGTGTGGTGGCACGCACCTGTAGTCCGAGCTACTTGGGAGGCTGAGGCAGGAGAATTGCTTGAACCTGGGAAGTGGAGGTTGCAGTGGGCTGAGATCACACCACTGCACTCCAGCCTGGGTGACAGAGCAAGATTCCGTCTCAAAAAAAAAAAAAAAAGACTTGGAGGAGGGAAAGGGGAAGTTCAGAGTGTGGCTTTGCTTGCTGTCAGATCCTTTTTGTTGCTTTTCTCAATATTTAAATAAAAATGGGAATTATTTTAAAAATTATTTTATTTTATTTTATTTTGAGACGGAGTTTCGCTCTTGTTGCCCAGGATTGAGTGCAGTGGCTCGATTTTGGCTCGCTGCAACCTCTGCCTCCTGGGTTCAAGTGATTCTCCTTCCTCAGCCCCCCGAGGAGCTGGCATTACAGGCATGTGTTACCACGCCCAGGTAATTTTTTGTATTTTTAGTGGAGACGGGGTTTCGCCATGTTGGCCAGGATGGTCTGAAACTCCTGACCTTAGGGTAATCCACCCATCTTGAACTCCCAAAATGCTGGGATTACAAGTGTGAGCTACCACACCCGGCCATTAAAAATTAGATTATTGTGTGTGTGTGTGTGTGCTCTCGCATGCGTGTGTATATTGTTTTGTTTTGTGAAAATGATACTGCACAGATCCTGGGCTATATGGGAATCCAGGATTTATTTGGGTTACCTTAAAAGGAAAAGGATAAATTATGGATACCTCCATGTGAAATAGTTGAATATATTACCACTCACTAAGGTGTTTTTTTTCTTCTTAAATTTTTTTATTTTTTATTTATTTTTTTTGAGATGGAGGCTTGCACTGTCACCAGGCTGCAGTGCAGTGGCGCGATCTCGGCTCACTGCAACCTCTGACTCTCTGGATCAAGTGATTTTCCTGCCTCAGCCTCTGGAGTAGCTGAGATTACAGGCGTGTGCCACCATGCCTGGCTAATTTTTGTATCTTTAGTAGAGATAGGGTTTCATCATGTTGGCCAGGCTGATCTCGATCTCCTGACCTCGTGATCCACCTGCCTCAGCCTCCCAAAGTGCTGGAATTACTGGCGTGAGCCACTGCGCCCAGCCCCCCACATTTTTTTTTTTTTTTTTGAGACAAGGTCTCACTGTGTCACCTAGCCAGGAGTGCAGTGGCACAGTCACTGCTCACTGCAGCCTCAACCTCCTGGGCTCAAGCGACCCTCCCGCCTCAGCCTCCCGAGTAGCTGGCCAGTAACTGCGCCTGGCCAAAACTTTTTTAGAGAGGCCGTCTCGCTCTGTCACCCAGTGGGCTGGGGTGCAGTAGTATGATTGTAGCTCACTGTAACCTTGAACTCTTGGGCTCAAGCAATCCTCCCACCTCAGTCTCCCAAATAGCTAGGACTATATGCACGCGCCACCATGGCCAGCTTCTAAAGTATTTACTTAAAAGGGAAGTCCAAGAACATAAACTTCCCAAAATTAATGTATAATAGTAGAATTTCAGAGGTCATAGTGTGGGATGACGGCTCTTTCCTAAAAACAAAACAAAACACAATCTTGTCTCATTCCATCTAGTTTGTACCTATTTATCTGGTCTCTGGTTCCTGGGGTCAGCCATGCTTCCTCCCTTGAAATTTGTATCATATCTGGTACAAAATGACTAACCTTTAACTGTGCATCTTTTGGGGGAAAAAATCATTCTGCCCTGTTTTCCCTCAAGCAGAAAAAGAACAAATCACCTGCTGCCTCGGCAGGACAGGATTTCTGCCAATCCCACCTGTAAGCAGCGTTCATGGCTTCCAGACAAAGTGGGGGCCCGGGGCCTGCAGAACAGTCGGCCACATTCACCAGCCTGTCTCTCCTCTGGACCTCTTGGCACAAGCTTTTACTCTCCAGACTGTGTGTGTTTGGTTGAATTGAAATAAACACAGCAGGATTTTGTTTTAGTTTGTTGTTTGTTTTGCAGAACGAGGTCTTAGAGGAAGGACTTCCCAGCCAAACTTGACCCCACACAGGCCAGAGAGAAGCGGTAGGGAGGGCGGCGAGAAGGAACTATGAAGTAAAATGGGGACTGGTGTGGGGACTGACTTCCTCCCCCAAAAACCTGGAACATTCTTCTCAAAGCCCCATGCCGCCAAACTTCCCAGCCATTCCCTTGAAATGTTCTCAGAGCAGGGCTCCACATGGCTCACATGTACACCCGTGCGTGTGTGTACCACACACACACACACACACACACACACACACACAGAGTTCTGTCTGGTAACAGATTGGGTCTGAAAAATCTGGCAGTCTGCGTGGCCGATGGCAGAGTGTCGAGCCTGTTCTCACTGTCTCCCTGGAGTCCCTGTGCAGACGCAGGTGCACGTCAGCGCCTGCTCTAATTTTATCCCTGGTTGATGGAGGAGACTAACTGAGCAGCAGGGAGGCTGCTATTTTGGGTCTCTCCATGGCTCTGGGTTATATAAAGCCTATTGCTGTGACCTGCATTGCTTTGAGGCTGTGCCTCACTGTCTTGCGTCCTCTGTCACAATATGTCATCAGTTCAGACATTCACACACACACACCCCCGGGTCTCTGGAAAATGAGAAAGGAGGTGTGTGCTGGAGGAGTGTGTGTGTGTGTGTGTGTGTGTGTGTGTGTGTGTGTGTGTGTTCCTGCCAGCTCCCTGAGGAATGAGGCCTACGTATGCTACTGGGAGGGATATTGTACGTGAAGGAGGTCTGTTCTTGAAGGAAATGGAAAGATCTTTCTGATGGAGGCACGTGAGGGTATGTGCTTTGGGCTTTAGCACAGAATGTGTTTGTAAGCTGAGGTTGTGGGTCTGCTGTTGGCATGGCAATAAGAATAACTTCTATTTCAGTAACTCTTTTCATTTGATGGAACCCAGGGGTTGCATAAATTACAAACGGCTCTGCCTTTGAACGACAGGAATTTTTCATCTGGAATTAGGAGTAGCAGCTACATGAACAAATGTGAGAGTGAGAATTTAGAGATGGGCTGATGACAGAAGATGGCATTTCCTACATCACTGAGGAAAATTTTCACCTGGAAATGTTGCCTTTCTGATTAAAAAAACAAAACAAAACAAAACTTGTTTCCTGCTATTGTGATTATCGTGTATTGTGTTAAGATATGTGTTTTCTGACCAGGCATGGTTACCCACACCTGTAATCCCAGCATGTTGGGAACCTGAGGTAGGAGAATTGCATGAGCCCAGGAGTTTGACACCAGCCTGGGCAACATAGTGAGACCCCTGTCTCTTAAAAAAAAAAAGATATGTGTTTTCTATAGTTAATCATATATGATATCTAAATTATCTTTGTATCTCCCCATATTGAGTGTGAGTATTTAAGGTATAAATTTTGATAGGTGAACATACAACAGAATCCTAATATAACACAGCTCATTATTGTATGAATTTGAAAGTACTAGGTTTCTCAAAATATAAATTATTCACAGGGAACAAGCCTAACATATCTCAGTGAGCTTATCAGACAGATATTCATCCTGTCCCCCCAATACCAGCAGGGAAGACATGTTCCGTACTTGTTGAGCTACGTGTCTCCCAGGTATAATCTCCCAGGGTATATTCTGGCTAACATGATGGAGCCCATAAGGCATCACCATGGGAATGAGGACTTGGCATGGACACCTCTTGGCTCGTGGAGACTGCCAGAATGTGAGGCCTGCGGCTGGGGCTCATCTTGCTGATTTGGGCTTCCCGTCACTGGCAGCTCCCACAGCAGGTGGCGTTCCCATAACTAGCAACTTCACTGAGCCACTATTTCTTAGCTGTTCTTTGAAAGACGTTGAAGACCCCTCTCTTCCACTGGCCAAAGCACTTCTAAGGGATTTTGGAGAGAAAAACTTGGGAGCTTTCCATGAAGAAAACAGAAGAATCTGGCAGCCGTTTCCATAGGGCTGAACAGGCACCTTAGAGAATTCCAGTGAAGAGGGCAGCTAAGGGAAGAAGGAAACAGAAACGGACTAGAATCAAAGTCAGGGCTCCTAGGGGCTGGATGGGGAAATGAAGCTAGGAATGGGGAAGGTATAGATGAATCACTGCGTCGCTTATTAATAATTAATTTAGGCAGAATCTTGCTACTCATGTCCTCCCCCCACCATGGCTGGGGGCAGGAGCTCACCATTCTGGCTCTTTAGTGGTCTGCTTGTTGCCTTCCAATGCCACTCCATCATGCTGTCTGTGTCCTTTCTAAAACACAAATCCTGTGATCCCACTGGGTAAGCCTGTTCCATGGCCCTTCATTTCTCTCTCTGGAGAAAACCTAAATGTTTTACCAGGTAGACAAGGCCCTCTGCAACCTGGGACCTGCTTATTTCTCTGGCTCAGCTCAAACTGCAATCCTCTCAACCCTTCACACCAGCCCTCTCCTCCTTCCACTCCTTGGCACATTTTTTTTTTTTTTTGGATACAATGTCTCACTCTGTCACCCAGGCTGGGATGCAGTGCGTGATCTCGACTCACTGTAGCCTCGACTTCCGGGGTTCAAGGGATCCTCCCATCCTCCCACTTTAGCTTCCCCAGTAGCTGGGACCACAGGCATGTGCCACCACGCCTGGCTAATTTTTCCACTTTTTTTTTTTTGTAGAGATGGGGTTTTGCCATATTGCCCAGGCAGGTCTTTAACTCCTGGGCTCAAGTGATCCATGCGTCTCACCCTCCCAAATTGCTGGGATTATGGGCATGAGCTACGGTATCCTGTCCTTGGCACCTTAAAGCTAAATGTGCTGAACTCTCCCATCCTCTGTGTGTTAGCATGCACCATTCCATCTGCCTAGAATGCCCTTCCTGTCACTTTTTTTCCCCTGAAAAATTCCAAAGCTTCTTTCAGGCCTCAACTCAAGCAGGATGTGTTAACTCCTCCACACCTGGATCAGGTCCCTTTCTACTCCATCTTTGCTCACCCTTGCTGCAGTGCTTGAATGCTCTGCAATCTTTCCTGGGGTTCTACAAGACAAGACTGCATTTCATTTTTTTTTTTTGTATTTTTAGTAGAGATGGGGTTTTGTCATGTTGGCCAGGCTGGTCTCAAACTCCTGACCTCAAGTGATCCCTTGCCTCAGCCTCCCAAAGTGCTGGGATTACAGGCATGAGCCACCCGCCCAGCCAAGACTGCATTTCCTTACTGGGCCTACTGCTCAGCCTGCCCAATAAGTTTTTGCCGAATGAATGAATAGGGGAAGAAGCCACATTTTTGAACTAAAGCTTTCTCAAATGTTGTGAGGGATAGGGTTTGTGGGAAATGACAGTGACATTGAAGAGGAAAGGCCAGGTCCTGGGAAGTCTGACCATGAGTAAAACCAGTGGGCCTGCAGTTGTCTGTCTCCAAAGCCTCAAACAGAAGGGCAGAGAATAGACCTGGCCTGTCCTGCCCACAGTTGTATCATGCAGGTAGCACTGTTGAGGATGGAACCATTAGTATGGTACCCATCTCACCATGGTGATCAGCCACCATGGATCAGCATCTTTCCAGCGGTTTTCCCACCATCTATGGCGGGGCCTGCCTTTTCCGCACTCCCATGCCACCACGCATCTGTGGGATAAGAGTAGAGAATTTTTATATGGACCTCCGTGTCCTTCCTGGAAGACAACATGCCTCCATCTATGTCTCCCGCTTGGTCAAGAAACTGCCAAGAAACTGCCAAGCCAGCTGTGATTCTACGAAGACCATCAGAACCTTGCAGCTCCATCCCACGGGCGGGTTGCCCTCTCTGCCCAGGCCACACCCTGGGTGAGGCTGGCCTTAGGGATCTGGGCACAGGAGAGGATTCAACAGGCTGAATGCCTAATACTTGACTGAATTAAACCGAGCCACCTTGGGTCAGGGAATTCAGCTCAGCAATTCTGGTGGTAGCTGACATCAGTATCTTTGAGGAAGTGGAGATAGGATTAAAAGAGACCTCATGCTATAAATCAGGTTCAAATGCATGGAGAGAGACTAATTAAATCCCTGATACTGCCTATATACACAAAGCAATTTTTTACAAGACAGTTAATCACCACTTAATTCATCTGTTTTAATATTTACATCTTCATTTATTAGGCTTTATTAAAGTAGGACCTAGCTTTCCTTTTTTTTTGAGACGGAGTCTCGCTCTGTCGCCCAGGCTGGAGTTCAGTGGCACCATCGGCTCACTGCAAGCTCCGCCTCCCAGGTTCACGCCATTCTCCTACCTCAGCCTCCCGAGTAGCTGGAACTACAGGCGCCTGCCACCACACCCAGCTAATTTTTTTGTATTTTTAGTAGAGACGGGGTTTCACTGTGTTAGCCAGGATGGTCTCAATCTCCTGGCCTCGTGATCCACCTGCCTTGGCCTCCCAAAGTGCTGGGATTACAGGCGTGAACCACCGCGCGTCGTCGGACCTAGCTTTTCTATACTCTGAAGGCATCACTGCCCAAAATATTTTCATTTAATACTGTGTCAAAAACTGCCTACTTATCTTCCAAAGACAGATCTGTGTGTGTGTGTGTGTGTGTGTGTGTGTACATGGACTGTTGTCCTAAGTCCTTTGTCTCCTCTTCTCAGAGTCTGCCCCATGATAACAGAATAATAATGATGTTATTCCAGAATAAACTTGCAATGTGGGGGCTCCGAGTGGTGGCTCATACCTGTAATCCCAGCACTTTGGGAGGCCGAAGTGGGTGGATCACACTTGAGGCTGGGAGTTCCAGACCAGCCTGGCAAACATGGTGAAACCCTGTCTCTACTAATGGTACAAAAACAAAAATTAGCCAGGCATTGTGGTGCATGCTTGTAATCCTTAAGAGGCTGAGGCATGGGAATTGCTTGAACCTGGGAGGCAGAGGTTGCAGTGAGCTGAGATTGAGCCACTGCACTCCAACCTGGGTGGCAGAGCAAGACTCTATCTCAATCAATCAATAAACAAACTTGCAGTGGGAAAGGTGGGTACATAACGGGCATTTTTTTGGGAAACTTTCAGAATTTTATTTTATTTATTTTATTTTTTTTGAGTCTCGCTCTATCGCCCAGGCTGGAGTGCAGTGGTGCGATCTTGGCACACTGCAACCTCTGCCTCCCGGCTTCAAGCGATTCTCCTGCCTCAGCCTCTCGAGTAGCTGGGACTACAGGCGCCTGCCACCACGCTTGGCTAACTTTTGTATTTTTAGTAGAGACGGGGTTTCACCATGTTGGCCAGGCTGGTCTCGAACTCCTGGCCTGAAATGATCCGCCCGCCTTGGCATCCCAAAGTGCTGGGATTACAGGCGTGAGCCACTGTGCCTGGCCAGCTTTCAGAATTTTAGACAGTGCCTTCTTAGGCTCATGAATCCTGACAGATAGCCCGCTGTGACAGAGAGGGAGATGGAGAAAGCCTGTGTGAACAGGAGCCTGCGGGACTAGAGAGGAAAGGAAGATGGCTGTTGGCACACTTGCAATTTTAGAACAGCTGCAGTGGTTACAGTAGCTCCCCCTGAATGCGATGACGCTGGGCCACTTAGGGGAAAGGGAGAGAAGATTCTGCAGCCAATGACACGGAGGAGGGAGCACTCGCTATACTCAGTGGGTGGGTATTAAAGGGATTATGTGTATTAGGCAGTATTACCAGAAAGGCATGTGCTTTAACTGCCAAGAAACTAATAATGAATTGGAATGCCTTCCAGGGATGAGAACAAGTTAAAACAATATATTCTGTGCTCAACATGTACAATATTTCAAAATCAGTAGCACATTTGGCTTTACGGGACATGATGAGGGAGAAATTACAGAAGATCTCATATCATCATTTAATTTGGTCTCTTTTTAAAAGTCACATAACAGGACTCTCCATAGTAAAGGTACTAGCTAATATTTATTGAATGTTGACTGTATGCTTATTACTCATTTAAAGGTTCTATATCCAGGCTGGGTGTGGTGGCTCATGCCTGTAATCCCAGCACTTTGGGAAGCTGAGACGGGTGGATCACTTCAGGTCAGGAGTTCGAGACCAACCTGGCTAATACGGCGAAACTCCGTCTCTACTTAAAATACAAAAAGTAGCCAGGCATGTTGGCATGTGCCTGTAGTCCCAGCTATTTGGGAGGCTGAGGTATGAGAATCACTTGAACCCAGGAGGCAGAGGTTGCAGTAAGCTGAGATCACACCACTGCACTCCAGCCTGGGCAACAGGGCGAGACTCGGTCTCAAAAAAAAAAAAAAACGTTCTATATCCATCAACTCAGATAACCCCCACAACTTTATGAGGTAGGTACTCTTACTAGCCCCATTTCACAGATGGGAAAATAAAGCCACAGAGAGATTAAGTAACATGCCAAGACCACACAGCTAGTACATGTCACAGCTAGGATGATTTGAACCTAGGTTGGCTGACTCTAGATCCCAAACTTATTATTTATTTATTTATTGAGACAGAATTTCACTCGTTGCCCAAGCTGGAGTGCAATGGTGCGATCTCAGCTCACCACAACCTCTGCCTCCCGGGTTCAAGCGATTCTCCTTCCTCAGCCTCCCGAGTAGCTGGGATTACAGGCACCCGCCATCACACCCAGCTAATTTTTGTATTTTTAGTAGAGACGGGGCTTCACCATCTTGGCCAGGCTGGTCTTGAACTCATGACCTTGTGATCCACCCACCTCGGCCTCCCAAAGTGCTGGGATTACCTAGATCCCAAACTTATAACCACCATTCTATACCACCTTTATGATGGACCAGATGCCTTTTTTTTTTTTTTAAGACAGAGTCTTGCTCTGTTGCCCAGGCTGGAGTGCAGTGGCGTGATCTCTGCTCACTGCAACCTCCGCCTCCTGAGTTCAAGTAATTCTCCCTCCTCAGCCTCCCGAGTAGCTGGGACCACAGGCACGTGCCACCATGCCTGGCTAATTTTTGTATTTTTAGTAGAGATGGGGTTTTACCATGTTGGCCAGGCTGGTCTCAAACTCCTGGCCTCAAGCGATCCACCCACCTCGGCCTCCCAAAGTGCTAGGATTATAAGCGTGAGCCACCATGCTTGGCCCAGATGCCCTTTTAAAACTGTCTACTGATGGTATGCAAGATATTTGTTTTACTTCAATGCGTAAGAATGAGAAACTGTGGAAATCCTGTTTGAACATCAGCATGACGTCATTAATAATAAATGCTCATGAATCCAGGTCAGTTGTGTTCACCTTTAGGGCTTAGGAACCTCTCCACAGAGGACCCAGCATGAGTCTCATTTCTTGATGCCCTGCACCAAAGTGATTTTCAACAAGTAGTCTCTTTATCTATTCACTCAATAAATGTTTCTTGAGCACTCTCTCTGTGCCAACCATGCCAAACACACTGTACTAGGCTCTGGAAATATACTTGGGTCTAAGGCATAGTCTCTGCCCTCAAAGGGCATGTAACACATGGACATCTCTCAACCAATGACCAATAGGTTAAAAGCTCAATATCCTAAGGCTGATGCCCACCTCTTTTCCATTTGTCACCTGCTTCAGACATGAGGGTTATTACTATTTGCTGGAGGCCTAGGGAAGCTCAACTCCGAAATGAATGGGCTGCCATCCTGAAAGTCATCTGTATCCAGGAAAGTTTTCCTAGCCAAGAGCTCCACGTTCTTAACGGGAAAGTGACATTGAGTGGTGTCAAAGATGATAGTCAGTTAAAATAGATGATTATGAACAGAATGTGTAACATGAACTCACTGTGGTTTAAATATGTGTATGTGTATATTTATGACTAAACATCTAATTGTAGGCAGTGTAGTGGTTCTAGAGTCAGATTATTTGGATTTTATTAGCTTTGCAACTTTAACATTTCTATCCCACACATTCAGTGTGAAAACACATGTAAAGTACTTACAGTGATGCCTGGAACACAGTAAGCCCTTTATAAACATTAGTGATTATTCTCATCAATATTATTACTCCCCAAAGCTACCTCTAAAAAGTGGCTCCAGGGATGAAGGTGGAGAAGACTTTACCTTTTTATTAGTGTTACTTACTTCTTGATTATTGGAATTTTAAAAACATGTATTACTTTTATAATTAAAAAACAACAAACCTTGAGTAGGAGTATCCAGTGCAGAAAAATAAAAACAAACTAAACTGGCCGGGCATGGTAGCATGAGTTTGTAATCCCAGCTACTCGGGAGGCTGAGGCAGGAGAATCACTTGAACCTGGGAGGCAGGGGTTGCAGTGAGCCGAGATCGTGCCATTGCACTCCAGTCTGGGCAACAAGAGTGAGACTCCGTCTCAAAAAAACAAAAACTAAACTAACCCTTTATTTTGGCTATCTGGAGGCTCCTATTGAAACATAATGAATCACCTGAAAGGTACATAAAAAGAGTACCCCTCGGCCAGATGCAGTGGCTCACGCCTGTAATCCCAGCACTTTGGGAGGCCGAGGCAGCGGATCACTTGAGTTCAGGAGTTTGAGACCAGCCTGGCCAACACGGTGAAACACCATCTTTACTAAAAATACAACAAATTAGCTGGGCATGATGGCAGGCGCCTGTAATCCCAGCTACTCGGGAGGCTAAGGCAGGAGAATCGCTTGAACTCGGGAGGTGGAGGTTGCAGTGAGCCGAGATTGCACCACTGCACTCCAGCCTGGGCGACATAGCAAGACTCCATCTCAAAAAAAAAAAAGTGTACCCCTTTTCACCCTCTCTCACCTGGTGCCTGTTTTTTAGGGAAAATTGACTTCAGGTAGGAAACCTAAAAACATTCTGGTCTAGTTTCTCTAGGGAGCTGCTTGTAGAATTAAAAAGTACAAGGTAGGCTGCATCAGGCAAGGCTTCATCTAGGGCTCCAGGACCCCATCTCTGTTTATCTTTAAGTAGGGCTATCCTTCACTGCCAGTGCAATTCTCAGGCTCTTCATGCAAGGTGGCGGACAGCAACTCTAGGTCTGTATGTGCTCAGGTTCAAGTCTAGTGGAAAACAGCACATGCTTGTCTCTGGGCAATCCCGGCAAAGGTCTCATTGTGTTTCACGGGGGTAATGTGCCCACCTCTGAACCAATCACTACAGCAGAGGAATTGAGCAGTGCTCTGATTGGCCAGGCCATCTATGGAGGGAGAGGTAGAGTCAACTGCGCTTAATGCACAGAGATTAGGATTGGGGAAGGGTAATTTCCTAGAGGAAAATGGGAATCCAGTTGCCAGAAGAAGCCTGAATGAGTGCTGGGTGGCAAAGCAAGAGTTCCAAACACATCAACGAAGGAAAATGTGCAGTTTCGGGGGTGACCTGATGGTGCTATTATCTCCTCAATTGATTTGCTTTTCCAAAGCTTCCTTGTAGATACGTCTCACATACAGACCTAACCTGGGGTGGAGCAAAGAAATGGCAAACTTTCCTTATGCCTAGGCTAGGCATCTGTCCATCTCTGGGGTCATCAGGACTAGTGACTTGGAATCAGGAGACTCAGGCAGGGAAGAGAAGGTGAAAGCAAAAGATTGAATATACAGAAGGCCAGGCTTAAGGTGTCAGGAAACTATACCTGTCTCCTGGGAGTGGCAGATTTGTGAATGCCTCTCAGATACACAAGACTTAAGCCTGGAATCTCAATGCCCTGGGGGCAGGCAGGTGAAGCAAATGAGTGCAGAGGGCTGCTGCACCAAACCCAAGACACGTGCCCACCTAACAGTGGCGTCTATAACCCACTATCACTATTTTTCCCCAGGAGAGTCTGTAAATCCAGAATGGATGTATGTGCATGTGCACATGTGTGCAATCTCCCTGTTTTTATTCTTATTTTATTTTGGGGGGACAGGGTCTTGCTCTGTTGCCCAGGCTGGAGTGCAATAGTGCAATCACAGCTCACTGCAGCCTCGACCCCCTGGGCTCAAGCAAGCCTCCCACTTCAGCCTCTCAAGCAGCTGGGACCACAGGCATGTGCCACCACATCTGGCTAATTTTTTCGTTTTTATTTTTGTAGAGACGGGGTTCTCCCTATGTTGCCCAGGCTGGTCTCGAACTCCTGGGCTGGTCTTGATCCTCCTGCCTCAGCCTCCCAAAGTGTTGACATTATCGGTGTGACTTAACATGCCTGGCTTCTCTGTTTTTAAATGTTGACAACTGAAGCAAATGTTAAAATACACTATGTTGTCAGGCTCGGTGGCTCGTGCCTGTAGTCCCAGCAACTCAGGAAGCTGAGGTGGGAGGATCACTTGAGTCTGGGAGCTCGAGGCTGCAGTGAGCCACGGTCCCACCACTGCACGGACCTCCCCAACCCCCAAGTTTGTGACATCTGATAGAGCCATATAGCCACAGAGCAAATGGAAGACCCTTCTCGATTAGTACAATATTAAATCTGTGTGCTAATCTATGCCCAAATCAACAATTACCCAATGACAGCCCACTGCCCAAAGTTCAGCCCTTTCATCTACCTTATCTAACTAAAAGCTGAAAAATACCACGTGGGCCATGAAAGGTGAGGGAACATCACTGTGAGAACTGTACTTCCATTTCCTGGCGGGGGTGTGGTTAAATTCACAACTTTGGTGTGATACTAACCGTCGGAGGGTTTTACATTCGATTTCCTGTTTCCTTTTCTTAATAAAGAAAGGAAAAGTGGGCCCCCGCAGCAACGGTAAGCTGAGTTCCATAGGAAGACACCACGGGGGTTCCAACTTGGCCACAAGCAAAAACAAAACGTAACCCTGAAACCTGGTAAATAGCAATATGCAGAAAACTGTGGGCCATGTGGTTGCTTAGGGGTGTTTTGATCATCTTGTGCAGCAATTTTCCACCTTAAAGTCATCAGACTAGTGGCTATGTCCTTTATTTTCGAGTTGCTGGAACCATTTCCCACGAAAGATTTAGAATATAATAACGGTGATAATAACTATGGTAGTTCTCATGTGCCAGGGACAGTGAGAGGTGCCTCACATGCCTCTAATTCTGGGGTAAACGCTCCAAGAATGATTCCCATTTTACAGATGAGGAAACTGAGGTTTGGAGGAGTTAAGATAATTTGTCCAAGTTACTTTAACTGACGGAGATGGGGTTTCATTCTTTCTTTCATTCATTAAATATTTATAGGTCGCCTATTTATTAGGCTAGACACTACAGAAAGATTGAGGGTTGAAGGCAGCTGAGCTCAGAATGAATCCCACTTGCTGAAAATAACCTCTGTGGAGAAGCCACATTTGGAATATTTATTTTGAGTTTTCTTCCTTTCTTTTTAGAGACAGGGTCTTGCTCTGTTGCATAGCAGTGATAAAATCATAGCTCACTGCAGCCCCAAACTCCTGGCCTCAAGTGATCCTCCTGCCTGTGCCTCCGCCTCCCGAAGTGCTGGGATTACAGGCATGAGCCACGGCATTCGGTTTTCTTTTATTTCTTCAGACTTTAACATTTTTATTGCATTTTATCTTTTCCCCTGGTGCTCCTCAGCAGGATCTAGACTCTTACTGAGCACAGTTCTATGCTGAGTGCTGGAAGGAATACAAAGCTGTATGAAGGCCGGGCACGGTGGCTCACACCTGTAATCCAGCCCTTTGGGAGGCCGAGGCAGGCGGATCACCTGAGGTCAGGAGTTCGAGACCAGCCTGGCCAACATGGTGAAACCATGTCTCTACTAAAAATACAAAAAAAACAAACAAACAAAAATTAGCTGGACGTGGTGGTGGGTGCCTGTAATCCCAGCTACTTGGGAGGTTGAGGCAGGAGAATCGCTTGGACCCAGGAGGTGGAGGTTGCAGTAAGCTGAGATTGTACCACTCACTCCAGCCTGGGCGACAAGAGTGAGACTCCGTCTCAAAAAAAAAAACAAAAAACAAAAAACAAAAAGCCGCATGAAAAGCTGATCCTGACTTCTGGGAGCTTGTAATTCAGTTTGGGAGACAAAGCCTATGCAATAAAACATTTAAATAATAACACAAAATAATGCATAATTAAGTGCCAAAGTAAATGGTCCAGGTGAAAAAGTTCAGAGGGATGAGAGGCTACTTTAGGCTGACACGGGTGGGGCACTGGAACAGAGGAGGCAGGTCTTTGAGGGACAGGCAGAGTAAAGAGGACATGCTCAGCTGGTATGCAGGAGAAAAGGGACAAAGCACGGCATAAACGAAAGTGTAGAAAGAGGAGGAATATGCTGATGCAGTATGATCTGGTGCATAAACTCTCAGTTTCAGCAGTTACATGGTCCTGGGTGTGAATCCAGCCTCAGCACCTTTCTACCTGAGTGGCCCTACATCAATTATTTTACTTGTATTAAGCCTCAGTTTCCTGATCTGCAAAGTGGGCATAAAGAATGAAACCATGCAAAACAAAGCAGCATCTGGCACAGGGCCAGGCCTCAGTGGCAGCTACTGCTATTATTATGATCTCTTTGCAGGGGGAACCCTTGCAGCTGTTCCACCTGAATAGTGGAGAGAGGTGTGTGGCCACGCTGAAACCTGAAACCATAACGTAAGAGCCCAAGGGAGACTGGAAACTCTACAGCCATGAACTAAAAGCAGCGTGTGTCAGCCGCAGAATCGGATAACACAACCAAACCACAAATGTGCCTGCCGCTCAGGCTTTAAAGTTCTACAGCAGAGCAGGACCCACTGTGACTTACTTTGTGTGATGGAGTCAAACCACATTTTTTTTCTTCTTTTTCTCATCAGACTTCACAGGAAATATACGTCTTTGTTCAGATTTGAGATAAGGTACCCCTTCACCTTGACTCTCCTTTGCGGCATGAACTCACCCATTAAGTTGCTCACTTTCTATCCTAGGCCCATATCATCAGCCACTTATATTTAGTAGGCATGTGGGTTTGTATTGCTCTTATGTTAGAGGTGGAATCAAAGCTTTATCTATTAAGACATGGTTTGTAGTCAGACTGAGATGACAATCTAAAAAAAGGAGGTGAGAGTCTCCCGGAGGATACAACCAAGTGGGGTGGATTCTGTTGAAGGTTGTTTATTTTGCCATCAGTAATCCCCTACAATGCTGTTGCTCAATAATTATTTTAGGTCTCATGACTTTCAACCTAACCTCTGTGCCCACAGAGAGAATCTATACTGAGGTGTTGACATGATTTCTTTGCAGCTGTTACAAATTAATAGCCTTGGCTCCCTTCGCATGTTGAACCATTAAAATTGTGAAGACAATTGGCATTAAGGTATTTCTCAAAGACCCCTCACCCAGTCTAATGGGACCTCTGTCCCGTTCCAGGAGTGCCTATTCCTAGATTTCTTTTTTATTTATTTTATTTATTTTTTGGTTTTTCCTTTTAAGCCCAAATCTCCCCATATAGGACTAACCTACGGGCCGACACGGTGGCTCACACCTGTAATCCTAGCACTTTGGGAGGCCGAGGCAGGCAAATCACCTGAGGCCAGGAGCTCGAGGCCAGCCTGGCCAACATGGCGAAACCCCATCTCTACTAAAAATACAAAAATTAGCCAGGCATGGTGGTGCACACCTGTAATCCCAGCTACTTGGAAGGCTTAGACAGGAGAATGGTTGAACCCAGGAGGTGGAGGTTGCAGTGAGCCGAGATCATGCCACTGTACTCCAGCCTGGATGACAGAGCAAGACTCCATCTCAAAAGAAAAAAAAAAGGACTAACCTAAGAATTGATGGTAGGAGGGCATGGAAGGAGGAGTACAAACAATAGCCCAGTAGGTTGTAGCTTATAGCCAGCGTTCAATAAACTTATCTCAGTATACTGAGAAGGAAGGAAGCAAATATATAATAAACCACCACCACGTTAATGCCTACTGTTTGTCAAGCATTTGCCATCCACACACCTTATCTTGTTGTCCTCCAACAACAGTATAAGGAAGGTAGTATTGGTGTGCCCATTTTGCAGAGAAGGAAACTGAGGCACAGAAAGATTAACTCGTAAGATAAATAGTTTGCAATGAGTAGCAGAGCAGGGATTTGAACCCAGGGAGTCGAGCTCCAGGGCTGGTGTTGTCAAATGCTACTAAGATATGTGTATTTTATCAGGAGGAAGCAGAGGGAGAAGAGGCACTGTAAAGAAATAGAAGGGTGTCTTGGGAGCTTAAGCTTTGGCCTATAGCACGATGCTGTCCCAGTCACAAACAGAGCCCCAGCCCAGATGGACAAGGCCACATCCTGACAAATACCCAGAAGTAAGACAGTCACAGTTTTGTACCCACTCTCTGTCCCCATCCTTTGCTGTTCTTGTGGGGCCAGCCAGGTTCCAGCTGAGTTGTAAACTTGTAGTATGGCTCTAGCTAGCCTAAGGGATTAGTGGAGCCATCTCTGGCTCATTGAGCTCCAGAGTGGCCAGTGAGAGCCTGGAAGTTGGATCAGATGACACTTCTGGAGGCATGGGCTATGGTCCCAAGGGTCCCCAGTAACTGGACAAGGGCCTTGGATCCCCAGCCTAATATGGAAGCGTCTCAAGACCCTTCTCTGGTCTTGTGTCTTCACTGACCCTGAGGAAAGGGCCTCCATTTTGCTTTAGATAGTTTAGCACAGTCTGGGAAGTCAGCCATTTCTGAGTTTGAATCTCATTTATTGCCTGTGCTGAGTTGGGAAAGTTAACTTCTCTATGCCTCTACTGCTTTTTTAAAAAACTAAAAATATAGAAGGCTGGACGCAGGGGCTCACACCTGTAATCCCAGCACTTCGGGAGGCCAAGGTGGGTGGATCATGAGGTCAAGAGATTGAGACCATGCTGGCCAACACGGTGAAACCCCGTCCCTACTAAAAATACAAAAAAATTAGCTGGATGTGGTGGCAGGCACCTGTAGTCCCAGCTACTTGGGAGGCTGAAGCAGGAGAATTGCTTGAAGTGGGAGGTGGGGGTTGCAGTGAGCTGAGGTTGCGCCACTGCACTCCAGCCTGGTGACAGAGCGAGACTCAGTCTCAAAAAAAAAAAAAAAAAAATACACACACACACACACACACACATATATATATATATATATACTGGGTCTTGCCATGTTGCCCAGGCTGCTCTTGAACCCCTGGCCTCGAGCAATCTCTGTGCTTCCATATCTTCATCTGTCAAAGGGGATAGTATAAGAACCTACCTCACAGGGTTGTTTTAAGGACAAAGTAAACGAATTCCTATCAGTCACATAAAGCACACTTGGCACTCAGTAAACGTGGGTGATGGTAATGAACTACACCTTGCTTCCGTTTAAGAAGTCATTCTAACTGTCTCAAGCCCCACAATGCACATTATCTCATCCGGGTAGGGAGCGGCCCCAGGAACAAAGCCTATGGCTTTGCCAGGCCCTGCAGCCATGTGCTCAGGTCTCTCCTGGAGAGGAAATGGTTTCATTATTCAGCTGTCTAGGTCATGGCCACTTTCTTCAGGGCAGGGCTGTCTGTGGCCTTGCCTGCTCGACATGCTTGGTTATGCCCAGCATGCCAGCCTGGCTCTGCCGGCCCCCAGCGTGTGAAGGAGCACAGAGAGGCATAAGCCTGCCTGCCGGGAAGAATGCTCATTCATGACAGGTCCATAGCGTCATAATGCTAGGCCTTGTTCTTGCCCCTGGAGCAGGTGAGGAGCCCATGGAAGCTAGTGCACTTCTGAAGATCCTTTCGTTGATCTGGCTGGATGACCATGACTGTGACCTTCAGCCAGGAAATCCCTGCATTCAAGGGAAGGCTGCCCCAGGGTCCAGGGCAAGGGCAATGTTTAGGCTAGTAGAAAGGCCCTTTCTGGCTGGGTGCGGTGGCTCACACCTGTAATCCCAACATTTTGGGAGGCTAAGGCGGGCCATCGCTTGAGCCCAAGAGTTTGAGACCAGCCTGGGCAACATGGTGAAACCCCATCTCTACAAAAAATACAAAAATTGGCCTGGTGTGGTGGTGGGGGCTTGTAGTCCCAGCTATTCAGGAGGATGAGGAGGGAGGATCACTTGAGCCTGGGAGGTCAAGGCTGCTGTGAGCTAGGATAAAGTCACTGCATTTCAGTGACTGCATTTCAGTGATTTTCAGCCTGGGAAAGACAGCGAGACCCTGTCTCAGAAAAAAGAAAGGCCCTTTCCAAAGTTGACTTGGGAGCCTCAGAAGGGAAGCATAGAGATGACAGGGCGGGTCTGGGGTGCTGTGTCTGTGTCTGCTGTCTAAGGCATCTAGCCACCGGCACAGCAGGGCTCTCCAGGAACATCGCTACCATTCTGGTTCTGAGATGTGTTCCAGAGGTTCTGGTTCCGCTTCCGTATGGGTTCCAGACTTCCTTCCGTTGAATCCTAGCACTGTCATTTATCAACTGTGTGACCTTTGAAAATCTCCTTAACCTCTCTGCCTCCATTTCTCATCTGTAAGAGGGGATGACAATAATCTACTCACCTACTCACCTCTTTATGTTGTTTTGAGGCTTAAATGAGTTTTTACAAAAATGCTTAGAACAGTGCCTGGCATGTAGTAGCATAAATATTTGCTGTTATTTTTCACATGCTAGAGATTTTAGTTCTGGATGGAGGCTCATCTAAGTAAGGGGGCAAATCCAGAGTTCTAGACTAAGTCTATTTGACCTTGAAGTCTGTTTTCCTTGAAAGCTACCACCTTGTATAAAAAGAACCCCTAATTTGTATGCTTTAGGAGAGACCATATTTCAATTTTGGGGACACCAGTCCTTCAAGGTACAGCACAGTTGCCTGACCTCAGAATTTTTTTTTTTTTTTTTTTTTTGAGACAGAGTTTCGCTCTTGTTGCCCAGGCTGGAGTGCAATGGCGTGATCTTGGCTCACCGCAACCTTCGACTCCCTGGTTCAAGTGATTCTCCTGCTTCAGCCTCCCGAGTAGCTGGGATTATAGGCATGTGCCACCACACCCAGCTAATTTTGTGTTTTTAGTAGAGATGGGGTTTCTCCATGTTGGTCAGGCTGTTTTCAAACTCCTGACCTCTGGTGATCCGCCCGCCTTGGCCTCCCAAAGTGCTGGGATTACAGGCATGAGCTACTGCGCTTGGTCCAGAATTTTCTTTTCTTTTCTTTTCTTTTTTTTAACAAACAAGGTATTGCTCTGTCTCCCAGTCTGGAGTGTAGTAGCATGATCATAACTCACTGCAGTCTAGGCCTCCTTGGCTCAAGTGGTCCGCCTGCCTCAGCCTCCCAAAGTGCTAGAATTATAGGTATGAGCCACTGTGCCTGGACAGATTTTGTTTTAGAAGCAGGAGTTAAGTGTCCATGAGTAGTAGGAACTCAGGTAATCCAGCCCAAATGGACTTGATCAACCATCCCCTGATCCCGGATCTCAGCGTGATGGGAGTCTAGGAAACCTGCCCTTTGACCTGAATCTGGATGACGTTAGTAATACAGGAATAGGTGAAATGCCAGCCACACCTGGCTGGCCCATGAAAAGGAAATACTTCCCACGCTTTGCTTTTGCACACCAAGGGCCCCCAGGTAAAGGCATCCAGGGTGCAAGCCGCCTGCTTTAATGCCCGGGTGTGGCTGCAGGAACAACCCAGTACAAACTGGAGTGAACCTGTTGCCCTCTTCCTTCCCTGCTGCCAAGCCAAACAGAACACAGGGAACACAAATAGAATCATCACAGTAAACCAGCTGTTGGAGCCAGACACTGGGAGAACCCACTCCCTGGCACTGCCACCCCATTCACGGGTCCAGACATGATGAAGTGCTCTGAGGGCTGAGGAAGGTGTGGCCCGTGGGCATTCCTGTCCAGCAAGAACCCCTCTGGCTTGTCTGTATTCATTGCCACCCACATGGACCTCTCTATGGTTGCTTGCCAAAGCCGGGAGGGAGAAGGGTCTCCCCTTCCTCCAAGCCCAGGATCACCGGGAAATGCCCTTCCCACCTACTGGACTTGACTAATGCTGCTTGTCAAGAAGGGAACTCTTCAGACACATAAAAATCCTAAAGGTAGCTGAGGTTTGAAAGAATTCGTGCTGGACGTGCTTCCCTGCAGGGTCAGGCATTGGGGAGGAGGGAGAAGAGGAAGGAGGAGCTGGTTGTAAGTGACAGCTGCAGATAAATCTGTGTGGAGCTGTCCAGGGAGCTGTTGAACTCAGGTAGTGCCCTCCCTAGCCTGGGGCAGGTCAGAGTCTCCCCGAACCACCCAAACCTTTCTGCTGCGTGTGCTCTGGGGCATGTCTCTCTTTGCCTCCTTGGATCTTGAGCCAATGAGGAAATATAGGCTAGTCCCAGAAGGCAGGGATGAATTTGTGTTCTTTGTGGTGTCAGCACCTTTTCATGAAGCTCTAGCAGATCTCACAATCTTCCCTTCTTTAAAAAAAAAAAGAAAAAGAAAAAAGTTTGGAAAAGGGGGCTAGAGTCTCCCTATGGAAAAGAAAGCTCGTGGAATGATCCAAGTGGAGGTTTTCCATGCATTCCATGGCATCATTGGAGATGTCCTGGCTCTGTACTTACTTAACTACTTGAATCTCAGTTTCTTCCGTTGTAAAAGTGGGCACATGAAGACCTAGTTCTCATGGATATTAACAGGATAAAACGAGATAACACATAGAGTACTCTCAAGTACTCTACATAGTCCTAGCATATCAAAAGTATTAGATAAATCTTGCCTTTATTTTCTCCTTCTCATACACTGTGTCAGTGGCTTGCTGGGTCCTTGATTAGCCTGAAGGACTGAAAGAGAGACCTCAAGAGAGAGAATGGCAAAGTAAATACGACCATCTTATTCGAACTTAACTCTGCGTTTCAAGTAGGGAGATAAGAAGGACTGCTGTTCCACTTCTTTTCTAGATGACAAGATGGGTTATTTTTATTTTTTATTTTTGAGACAGTTTCGCTCTTGTTGCCCAGGCTGGAGTGCAACGGCATGATCTTGGCTCACCGCAACCTCTGCCTCCCGGGTTCAAGTGATTCTCCTGCCTCAGCCTCCCTAGTAGCTGGGATTACAGGCATGCGCCACCATGCTTGGCTAATTTTGTATTTTTAGTAGAGACGGGGTTTCACCATGTTGGTCAGGCTGGTCTCGAACTCCTGACCTCAGGTGATCCGCCTGCCTTAGCCTCCCAAAGTACTGGGATTACAGGCAAGAGCTACCATGCCAGGCCTAAAATGGGTTATTTCTGTGCCTAGAGGTAAATTGCATCAGTGCTTTCCCATCTGAAACAAAACACAAACCACTTCATTTCCATGTCAAAAACTGATTCAATCTAATCTACCCATAAATCAGGCTTTCTCATTAACCTGAATTTGAAGTTTCTCTCTTTTCCAGCTGCTTTTATGCTCTAGGTGGAGTTTAGAAAAGAGAAGTCTAGCTTAACCATTCGTTGACAGAAAAAAGTAGAAATTGTCATTTCTTCCCTGAAAATACCAGAATTAGTAAATTGCTACCTTGCCCATAATCCTGTAATAAGCAGAATCTGCATTATGGTTGGATATATAGCATGAATCTCAACTACTATCTGGGTTTTTGTTTTTATTTTTATTTATTTATTTATTTTTGAGACTGAGTCTCACTTTGTTGCCCAGGATGGAGTACAGTGGCGCAATCTCGGCTCACTGCAACCTCGGCCTCCCAGGTTCAAGTGATTCTCCTACCTCAGCCTCTTAAGTAGCTGGGATTACAGGTGTGCGCCACCACGCCCGGCTAAATTTTTTGTATTTTTAGTAGAGACGGGTTTTCACTATGTTGGCCAGGCTGGTCTCGAACTCCTGACCTTAGGTGATCCACCCGCCTCAGCCTCGCAAAGTGTTGGGATTACAGGCGTAAGCCACTGCGCCCGGCCAATATTTTTTTCTTTTTTCTTTTCTCCTTTTTTTTTTTTCTTTTTTTGAGTCAGAGTCTGTCGCCCAGCCTGGAGGGCAGTGGTGGGATCTTGGCTCACTGCAATCTCTGCCTTCCAGGCTCAAGCAATTCTCCTGCCTCAGCCTCCTGAGTAGCTGGGACTACAGGCCTGCACTACCACACCTGGCTAACTTTTGTATTTTTAGGAGACAGGGTTTCACCATGTTGGCCAGGCTGGTCTCGAACTCCTGGCTTCAAGTGATTCGCCTGCCTCCCAAAGTGATGGGATTACAGGCGTGAGCCACTGTGCCCGGCCAGGGTTTTTTTTTCCTGAAGGGCTGATCATGGCTTTGTTCCACTCACTGTGCCCTTCTTCCTCTGCTTGGAACTGGACAGAAGTTCCAATAAGCTACTGTCTTCTATTAAGTAAGGACCAGACATGAAAAACTTTATGGTGGGGATGAGTGGATGGGGCAAGGGTTTGGGGAGCAATGATCAACTGGGTAAAATCCTGGGGAGTGGCAATTGAGTGGGAAGGGAGTCAAGAAGTGTTTAGGGAAGGATGTCGGGGAAGTGAGTAATAGGTAGGTCAGAGGATGGAGCAAGGGAATGTTGAAAGGCAACGGATATGCTCTGTGGACAGGTGGCAAAATATCTGAATGGGGGCCCAGGGAGGGCTACTATGGAGTAACAGGGAAGGGACCCTGAGGTGCTGATTTCTCAGAGATAGACAATGGGATTGGATATGTGTTGGTGGAGGAATGCAGAAAGCCCAGGCCAACTCCGAATGCCATTCATTTACATGAAATCCCTCTTTATGCCTCCACCATCTGCAACAGACTATGTGCTCACCCAAATGGCTTGCTTTTAATTCCAGCAAATAATATCCCCTCTGCTTTCCCCCAAATACAAAAGACACCATTTAAATTCAGCCAGGATGGAAGATCATGATATTTGGAGAAAATTCAAAGTCTGGGCCGCTCAGCTGTGCCTTATCATTCAAAAGTTACATTTTGTTCAGGTTGGCTGGCTTCACATGGTCATCTCAACTTTTCACTCCTGTTTCTTTCTTCTTTTTTTTTGAGACAGAGTCTCGCTCTGTCGCCCAGGCTGGAGTGTGCAGTGGCGCGATCTTGACTCACTGCAACCTCCGCCTCCTGGTTTCAAGCGATCCTCCTGCCTCACCCTCCCGAGTAGCTGGGATTACAGGCGCCCGCCACCAAGCCTGGCTAATTTTTATTTTTATTTTTTATTTTTTAATTAGAGAGGAGGTTTCGCCATGTTGCCCAGGCTGGTCTTGAACTCCTGACTTCAGGTGATCCACCTGCCTCAGCTGCCCAAAGTGCTGGGATTATAGGCCTGAGCCACCCTGCCTGGCCCTCTCCTCTGTTTCTTGACCTGGTTTTGTTTACAATTTGTTGCTGCAATCTTCCTATAACTGTTTCCAGAGTTGTGTGACGAAAAGGGAGGCTGGCACGCAGAGAGATTTCTCACACTCTGTTGGCTTGTGCAGTTGAGACAAAATTAAGCAATGTAGAAATTTAAGCTTCAGTTTTTAATGACCTAGGTTTTTCCAGGCCTTCCCATTTTGGAGTATCACAGTACTCAGGGATTTCTGAGTTTTCTCTCCCTTCCAGAGGAACTATTCTTGAATGGGATTATTAAGCACCCCTTCCTCAATTCTTCAACAAAGCTCCGAGGAATGAATGTCTCAAGTTCTGCTGCTTTTAAAGTATAAAAGATAAATTCAAAGTTCCTTATGCTTCTCCTTTCTGGGAGAATTCTGGGTTTTACTCCAACAGTGGGAAAGTTTTCTAAGCTGGTTTTGCTCCTGTCTCATGGGCAAGGCAGTTTGGTCGGTGGCTGTTCTGTGGGCTGCTGTCTGGAGGAGACGGTCGGTGGAGACGGTCGGTCGGGGAGGTCACCCTGACAATTATGGCCAACTGACGGTGGAGGGAGTGGTCTCGGTTTGGCCCTCAGTCTGGAGTCACAGTCTGGATTCACAGGCAGCGCAGAGAGATGTTGGCTCAGGACCTGAGGCTGAGGCGTGCTGGGACAGCCTAGGGGGTGTCCTGGCTTTCCAGGGGCTGGGGAACCCTCTCTGGCCCGGGGGCGGGAGAAGCTGTTCCAGAATCGGTTCTGGCTCCACTGCCACCTCAGCACTTTCTAATTGCAGCTCCAAACAGCCGCAGCTGCAGTCATAGCAACAGGCCCCGCCCACCGGGCTTCGCTCCTGGCGTCCAGCACGTGACGGCGACGCCTGCGTCGCTCCCTCAGCCCCTGGCGCTAAGGGAGGCGGGGAAGTGTGGGGGGATGACGTTTACTCTGTCGTCTCCATGGATATAATGCATAGACGTCAACGTCGCCAGTGTTTGGTGTGTAACGTTCTTCCGTCTCCATGGGAACGTCAGGCGGCCAAACACCGGGCCCCAGCAACAGGCTTCTGATTGGCCCGAGGCTTCCAAAGGCGGAGCTTCGTCTCCCGCGCCCGCTCGACTGTGTTGCTGTTTTGGTTGTTGTCTCCCACTTGTTTATTTCTCTAACAGATCCTGGAGGCTGAGGTCTAGATCGGTCGCCAAGGATGGGATCCAGGAGAAAACGTGCTGAACGTGCAGCTTGCTCCTACCGATTACAGCCCAGCAGATGACATAGTTCCACTGTGCTCTAGTCCATTGTGGGAATTATGGCCCTCATGCCCGGCGTCTGTCACAACCCAATATTTGGTGTTATAACCCCTGCTCCCACCCCCCAGCACATCTCAGAAGTGCCGTTACCCTCTCAGTCACATCCCAGAAACTGTGTTGCCTTCACGGTTACTCTTGTTTATGCTTGAGAGCACTCGGAGGCCTTTCCATATCTAAAGCCTGCATTCAGTGCTACCCCCTGCAGGATTTGGATACATTTCCCCGTCTGGTCCTAATTCTGTTGAATGACATCATTTATCCGTATTCCCACCCAGAGATGGGCAGATTTCTTGTAACCTGAATAGATACCAAAGAATCCCAAAGGACCTGGGTGGGTACTTCTATTTATGGGCTCATTGGATCTTATTCTTTCCTCTCCGCCTGTTTTAATTCAAATCGGGGGGACCATTTGATTTCTCCAATAGAAACAGAAAGAAATTGAAGACAGAGATGAACACAGATCAAGAGCCCAGGTTTCTTGATATCTAATACTAATATACTGATGGAGTTAAACATTCCAAGGTACGAATGTGTCCAGAAACAGTTTTAACCTTACCCTGGGTTTCCATCAGTGAAACCAAGTTAACATCTGGCAAAAGATAGCGATCTAGCCTCAGGGGTTTCAGTCAAGTTGCGCTTAAAAGAATGCCTTAAAATCTGTAGTTATGGTGTCAAATATAATAAATCTTCACCAGCTCATGCACGTACAAGTCTGAAATGTTTCATAAAAGGTTTAGATGACCTGATAACATGTTTCTAAAACCCAGAGAGAAAGAGAGAGACTGATACAAACGTCAAGTTAAAAACAAGAAAGTAAAATTAGTTTCATAGATTGGGGTTGATAAGGGGAATCTCTGTCCTCTATGCTCTAATCTTAGCCCACTACCTCCTTTCCTCTATCTCCTCTGGTGGATATGCTTGCTATCTGTCCTCCCCTCCGACTCTTTGGCTAGCCTTATAGCCTATAATTTCCTTCAGAGATGTAGTGAAATTAAATGAAATTAAGAGCCTGCTTAATGCAAACAGGACCAAAGGGCACAGCTCTTTATCGTAATGAACTTCATTCTGATTAAGTCAGGGACTGCAAGTGCTTACTATTTACCCAGTAAATATATTAAATTGCTAGGCTAGTCTCCCTTCTGTCCTGACACTGCCAGGGAATATTTGAAAGTCGGATATAAGATCCATTTTAGACCATCAAACATCCCTTCTAATTCTATCATCTCTCTTTATGTTTCCAGGAATATAGCATGTCTTGGTCTCTGAGAGCCAATATATCTGGGTTACACTGAAAGAGGAATAACGAGATAATATTTACACTGTACATTGAAGATGACCTGAAAAGCTGGAAGAGGTGACTGAGGGCATTTTCTCAGTGTGGATGAAGAAGAGGGGAGGAAGGTGAAAGATGACAGAATATCTAAGTGCCTAGATTTGATTCTAGCATATGAACCCATTTTATGATTCTGTCCAAGGGCATCAGTTATAACCTCCAAATTTCCATGTCCTTCTCCATCTCCCAGTCTTAGAATTTTTTTTTTTTTTTTTTTTTGAGACAGAGTCTTGCTCTGTCACCCAGGCTGGAGTGTAGTGGCAGGATCTTGGCTCACTGCAACTTCCACCTCTCAGGTTCAAGTGATTCTCCTGCCTCAGCCTCCCAAGTGGCTGGGAATACAGGCGCCTGCCACAACGTCTGGCTAATTTTTGTATTTTTAGTAGAGACAGGGTTTTGCCGTATTGGCCAAGCTAGTCTTGAACTCCTGACCTCAAGTGATCTGCCCACCTTGGCCTCCCAAAGTGCTGCTGGGATTACAGGCGTGAGCCACCGCGCCTGGCCAGTTCTTTCTTTTTTTTCTTTCTCTCTCCTTTCCCTCCCTCCCTCCTTCCTTCCTTCCTTCCTTCCTTCCTTCCTTCCTTCCTTCCTTCCTTCCTTCCTTCCTTTCAATGGAATCTCGCTCTGTCACCCAGGCTGGAGTGCAATGGCGCAATCTCGGCTCACTACAACCTCCGTCTCCCAGGTTCAAGCAATTCTCCTGCCTCAGCCTCCCGAGTAGCTGGGATTACAGGTGCACACTGCCACGCCCGGCTAATTTTTTGTATTTTTAGTAGAGACGGGGTTTCACCGTGTTCCCCGGGCTGGTCTTGAACTCATGAGCTCAGGCAATCCACCTGCCTCAGCCTCCCAAAGTGCTAGGATTACAGACGTGAGCCACCACAGCCGGCCAGGCCAGTTCTTTCTTTTTGTTTGACCCAAACATGGTCATGGGCCATGATGTGGGACCCAGCGAATTTTTAGTCTAGGAAATACCAAATAGATATCGTTTTGATTGTATCGTGAGAAGCAGTTTGTTTCATATATGCTTGCATGCGCACACACATGCATATTCTTTTGCTGCCTTGTGTTTCGGCTGAGCCTCTCTGTTTAGATGACCAGATTCAACATAAGGACCATGATGTCCTTCTATGTTGCTGACTTCCTTAAACCACAAGATGATTAATTTCCCCAACCTATTTCCTCATCTATAAAATGGGGTCTGGACAACTCACTGACCCCACACGTTTGCTTTGACCCAAGAGGATTGCAATGATACAGTGATTATTAGTTGGTGGTGTGGAAATACTAAATGCTGCATAAATGCTTGATTATTATTTGTGGGTATATTTTCCCTCAACACCTCTCCATCTTAGTGCTGAGTGAAGCCTCCACTTGCCAGGTTTCCCTGGCAAAGAAGAGGCCTTGGCCCAGGCCAGGATGTGTAGGAGCTGTGACCTACCTGGCCTTTCAAGGCCCAGGTTCACACTATCCTCCTTCACATCTCAGCCATGATAGAATTCACTCTTCCACTCATGCTGGCTAACATGGTGAAACCCCATTTCTACTAAAAATACAAAAAATTAGCCAGGTGTGGTGGCACATGCCTATAATCCCAGCTACTTGGGAGGCTGAGGCAGGAGAATTGCTTGAACCCCGGAGGTGGAGGTTGCAGTGAGCCAAGATTGCACCATTGCACTCCAGCTTGGGCAACAAGAGCGAAATTCCTTCTAAAAAAAAAAAGGAGATGTTGCTACCTGGCCTCCTTACCTCTCGGGACTGTTAGGAGGGTCATACTAGGTCATGCTTGTGGAAGGGCTTCAAAAACCGTAAGTCAGAGGGTATTTTAAAGTTTAAAAATATTCTGCAAGATGAGGTGGTCTGTAAATGGAGCAGTGTCAAGGTCAAGTGTCAAGAGATGTAATTCATAGAGAGACTGGATAAATGCCCATCTATGTGATTTGATATGCCCTATGCCAAGGAATGCTCCCTCACTGTCCCTAAAATTCCATCATCAGCAATATATTTCTTTGGATTAAGCATTTGCCATTCCCTTTGGGTCCTACTCTTAAAAGACAAATTCTCTTGTGAGCAGTAGGCTCCTGAAATTTAATGTAAATTACATTACCAGACATGTTCCTCCCCGACAGGTGAGATGGCACCAGACAGGTGCACTGGGCTCTTGGGTAGGTCTGAGAAATGAGATGCTGGAATCCTAGAGATTATTCATTTTAGTCAAAGTCAACCTTCATGGTGTACCAGTTGCTGACACAGGACCCTCGGAACCCACCCAGCAGACCCGTAGTTCCACTCACAGATGAGGGGGGAAATGCTTCTCCCCATCCTCACCTAAAACCTCCGAAGACACCACTGCAGTCATCCAGAGACTCCCATATACTATAGGGGCAAGCAAAGTTTTTTTTACAAGTTTGGGAATTGACATGGGTTGCCAACTTTGAATTTTACCGAACAACAATTACTACTTATTATCACTATCATTTCATAAATGAGAAGACATTTTAACACTAAAAAAGTCAAAAGGACATTATCTGGCTGGGTACGGTGGTACACACCTGCAATCCCAGCACTTTGGGAGGCTTAGGCAGGTGGATCATCTGAGGTCAGGAGTTCGAGACCAGCCTGGCCAACATGGAGAAACCCCACCTCTACTAAAAATACAAAAAGTAGCCGGGCGTGGTGGTGCACGCCTGTAATCCCAGCTACTTGGGAGACTGAGGCAGGAGAATCACTTGAAAGTGGGAGGAAGAGGTTGTAGTGAGTCAAGATCGCACCACTGCACTCCAGCCTGCAGCCTGCATGACAGAGCAAGGCTCTGTCTCAAAAAAAAAAAAAAAAAGGACATTATTTAAAACTGAAGGATAGTCCTTTTAAATCAAAGATATGTAGCTGTATGCAAATTCCCTGCTTTGTCTTTATTTTTCCTATTTACCTTGGACACTCCTGTTTCTTCTTCAGTATTTATGGGGTGGTGCTGACAGTGACAAAGAGCAGATAGAGAAATCAAGGAGAGGTAAAAATTTAACTCAAGAATTAATGTTCCTGATAAGATGACCACTTCTCACACGATGCTTCTTTGGGTCACCAGTTTCTTTGTTAAAGGAGAGTAACATAATCTCACCAGAATGGGTTCTGATATGGGGAATATAATACTTTGAATAATTCTCTTGGAATTACTTCCACTCTGGGCAGATCAGTTTGTTTTCAGTGAGTCCATTCCTTGCTGGGACCATGCTGCACCACCTGAACACTTCTGGTTTTACCTGGCGAGGTGGGATTGTTGACTTCCCAAAGCCTGATCTAGCCAGATCAGATGGGGCAGAGTGTTAGGGACTGGCATGGTTCCTCCCAGAGGAGGGAACAAACCTGCCTTCCAGCTGGTGTCCCAGGTAGGTACAGGAGACGCTGGCAAAGCAGGTTTAACCAGCATCTTGGGCAAGATTTGGCGCATACTGTTTTCCTGCCTCCAGTGTCCCCTAGCAAAACTGGAAGCATTCTATATTTTCTGTGGTTGCATATGAACCCAATGCAACCAGCACAACATAGATAAATTTTTCTCCAAAGCCCAATGTCTCTAGAAGCTGAGCCTATATTTTAATTCCAAGCAACATTAGCATAATTAAGGCCCATGAGATTGAGTTTCTCTCTTTTTTTTTGAGATGGAGTCTCATTCTGTTGCTCATGCTGGAGTGCAATGGTGCGATCTTGGCTCACTGCCGACCTCGGCCTCCCAGGTTCAAGCGATTCTCCTGCCTCAGCCTCCCGAGTAGCTGAGACTACAGGCACGTACCATCATGCCCAGCTAATTTTTGTATTTTTAGTAGGGATGGGGTTTCACCATGTTGGTCAGCCTGGTCTCAAACTCCTGACCTCAGGTGATCCACCCGCCTGGGCCTCCCAAAGTGCTGGGATTACAGGCGTGAGCTACTGCACCTGGCCCTGAGTTTCTCTCTTATTAGTCATTCCCTGGTAGGTACTTAGGGAAATAAATTTACTTATGCAGGTCACCAGAGCACTATCAACTACACTGGGGAAATATTTAGCCCAATTATATGGTGTGGATTAGAAAATTATAAGATCATTATTTTAAAAATTATATTGAATTGGCTGGGTGTGGTGGCTCACGCCTGTAATCCCAGTACTTTGGGAGGCTGGGGTGGGAAAATTTGCTTGAGCCAGGAGTTTGAGATCAGCCTGAGCAACATAGTGAGATCCCATCTCTACTAAAAAAAAAAATTATTGAACCTATTCAACCAAAATAGTGGAATAATATACCTACATCATTGAATCGTGGTGAATATTAAATAACATAACAAGGCTGGGTGCGGTGGCTGACACCTGTGATCCCAGCACTTTGGGAGACCGAGGCAGGAGGATTCCTTGAGGTCAGGAGTTTGAGACCAGCCTGGCCGACATAGTAAAACCCTGTCTCTACTAAAAAAAATACAAAAAGTAGGCCGGGCATGGTGGCTCACACCTGTAATCCCAGCACTTTGGGAGGGCGAGGTGGGCAGATCACCTGAGGTTGAGAGTTCGAGACCAGCCTGACCAACATAGAGAAACCTTGTCTCTACTAAAAATACAAAATTAGCCGGGTGTGGTGGTGGGTGCCTGTGATCCCAGCTACTCGGGAGGCTGAGGCAGGAGAATCGCTTAAACCTGGGAGGCAGAGGTTGCTGTGAGCTGAGATCATGCCACTGCACTCCAGCCTGGGTGACAGAGTGAGACTCCATCTCAAAAAAAGTAGCCAGGCATTGTGGCGGGCACCTGTAATCCCAGCTACTCAGGAGGCTGAGGCAGGAGAATCGCTTGAACCGGGAGGTGGAGGTAGCAGTGAGCTGAGATTGCGCCACTGCACTCCAGCCTGGGTGACAGAGTGAGACTCCGTCTCAAAACAAAACAACAACAAAAACCATAACAATATTTGTAAAGCACTTCGCATAATTCCTGAGCAAGCACTCAATAAATATTAGCTATCATTATTTCTCTTTATTCAAGAAGTATTTTTTGAGCAGCTATTATATGCCAGATACTGTGTTAGGGGCTAGAGAGTCATTGATGAGTAAAATAGGCAAGGTGTCTGCCTTCTTGGAGTGGGGAGATAGACATTAAATGAATTCATTTAATTCAACAATTAACAGCTATTAGGATCAGGCTTCTCTAACTCCTTGGGGGTACATCAGTGAATAAAACAAAGATCCCTACTCTTGTGGAACTTAATTTTTAGAAATTAGCCCAAATGCTTTCTAAATAAATGTATTACTAGAAATGGTGGTAAGTGCTAATCATGAAAAGCCTAGGGTGGAATGAGGGCTTCTAAAAGGTTCCTAATTCAGCCTGGCTGCTGGGGAAAGTCCTTTATGTGGATGTGACATTTTAAGTTTGAGATCTAGATAAAAAGTAGGCTGAACTGAGACGAAGAGTGGGAGGTGGAGGCAGAGAACATATGTATAATGCTAGTAGCTCATATTTAATTCCATGTTCCATGCCTTTTCACAAACGTTCTAGAGGACAGGACTGCCAAAGATGAGAGGAGATTCCTGCATCCGAAGTTTGCAATCAGGCCGGGTGCAGTGGCTCATGCCTGTAATCCCAGCACTTTGGGAGGCGGAGGTGGAAGGATTGCTTGAGCCCAGGAGTTCAAGACCAGCCTGGGCAATATAGGGAGATCCTGCCTCTCTCTCTCTCCCCCAACCCTGCCTCTCTTTTAAAGACATTCCCAATCAGATTGAATTTAGTTCTCAGCTCCAGGATGCATGGCAGCAGCTGCCTAGTTTTTGCCTTCTCAGGAATCACTGACAGTTGGCAGTTGCCACCTCAGCTTCCCTTGGTCCCCATTACCTGGAACAATCAGTCCCAACTACGCTAGGAATGACCTCTCTGTAGCTAGGTGTGGTGGTGTGCGCCTGTAATCCCAGCTACTTGGGAGGCTGAGGCACGAAGAATTGCTTGAACCTAAGAGGCAGAGGTTGCAGTGAGCTGAGATCATGCCACTGCATTCCAGCCTGGGTGACAGAGCGAGACTCCGTCTCAAAAAAAAAAAAAAAAAAAAAAGGAATCACCTCTCTGGGAATTGACTTCAGCTTCTTTTACTTGCCTTAGTGAGTGTCACCCTAGGGCCCCCAGAAATATGTCAGCATACATTTGCTGCTGGATTTAAATAATCTAGGGTGGGCTGAATAATCAATCTTTGAGAGTTGAACTAGCTTCTGAGCTACAAACATGCACATAATCCTTTAGCCCACTTTTCCTTTGCTACTGAATTTTCTCTAATTTAAGTTTTAAAGCTCTTCTTAGGTCATTTCCACCAGCAAGCTTTCAAGCCCTGGTTCATATTCTAGCTTAGAAATAGTTCACATAGTTCTGTGTAGACATAATATTTACGGGAACCAGAGATGGGTGGATTCTGATAGTGGCTTGTGGAATAGTCTCCAGTGCAGTCAAAATAACAAAGAATTTGAGAAGCAAATGCTTTGAGAGTCTAGTTTCCCATAAACTTCTCAAATATACAGGCTTAAATCCTGTGTAAGGATCAGCAGAATCCAGGAAAGTAGGGCCCTGTTTGAGAAAGCCTTGGTTTGTTCACTGTTTGCTGTTTTACAGCACAAATTCTGAACTCTGTTTATTGTCAACAGCTCTCTAACAAAGGACACAATGGAATGTGCCTGTTTTCAAATTCCTGTAAAAAAGGGCCCTGGAAGACCTCCAAGCCTGGTGTCGGTGATTTACTTCACTATTTTTCAGTGATTTCACTTAAGACTCTAAGCTTTTGAGAGAGTTCTTACCAATCATCAACATTAGTGTGGAGCTACGTATAAGAAGGATCTAGATGGGCTGTAATTGAGTGAGAATAAAATACAACTATCCATATCCTGTTGGAAGTGTAGGGACAGCTAGGGAGGAAAGTGAGCTGGGAGTAGCTGGGAACTTTTTACATTTAGTAGCACTGATCCAAAGATCTGGAGGGAGGAGGAGATTGCTGTTGGTAAGTCAGGCAGTAGGGTTTGAGGTGCACCTTGCAAAGACGGCTGGTTTCAAAGGTGTGGGGGCATTGGCACTTATGTTTCTCAGTACATAACCTTACATTGGGAAGCATCTCCTCTGCCCTGAATACCCTGCTCCTTGTTCTTCCATGGCTAGTTCCTTGCTATCATTTGCTTCTCATGGAAATTGTCTCCTTCTTCTACCCAGTCCAAAGTAGCAACACACTTCTTCACAACATATTCTTCCATTTTAATTACCTGCCCAAGGCTGGGCATGTTGGCTCACACCTGTAATCCCAGCACTTTGGGAGGCCAAGGTGGGCAGATCACTTGAGGTCAGGAGTTCGAGACTAGCCTGGCCAACATGGTGAAACCCTGTCTCTGCTAAAAATACCAGAATTAGCTGGGTTTGGTGGTGCACACCTGTTGACCCAGCTACTCGGGAGGCTGAGGCACGAGAATCACTTGAACTGGTGAGGCAGAGGTTGTAGTAAGCTAATATCGTGCCACTGCACTCCAGCATGGGCGACAGAGCAAGACTTTGTCTCAAAAAACAAAAAACAAACAAAAAAATTACCTGCCCAGCACTTACTTACTTTTATCTGACATTTTTGTTTTCTTATTAATTCATTACTGGACTATAAGCTTCATGTTGGTAGGAAGCTTGCCTGTTTACTGTGGAGTCTAGTGACTGGTACATAGTAGGTGCTCAATAAAAGTGATGAATGAGTAGCAAGGAATAGGATAATTGACTTTGTACAATTTGAGTTAAGAAGGGATTAACTTTGCAGCGTCCATACAAAGTAACTGTAGGTAATTGGTTTTTTTCTGACCCTTATACAAGGTAATAATATTTTGAGGTATGTGAAAGTCATTTCTTTCCTGGAAAGAATTCTGAAACCAATGGAAAAATAGAAAGCAGGCTAGAGATATCTGATAAGAATACGACTGAATTAATCTCAAACTAGATGTGTGAAATAAATGCCTCAGGGCTGCTCTTATCTAAATGTAAATCTAAAACATCTTAATCTGAAATTCCTCAGCTTTCTGCATTATTCTCTGGTCATTTTACCATATGGGCCAGAAATGGGTAAGAAGTATAGAAATTATGACCTGGGGCTTGGAGCTGTTGTTTGGTGAAACCGTTGATTTCGTGGGCCAATGAGTAGAGTGCTAGTTGAAGAACTTTTTTTTTTTTTCTTCCATTTCCCCAGCCTATTTCATAACCTCTTACTTCCTTCTTTTCCAAATTCTAAGCTCAGACAGACATCAGCTGGATGAAGCCCCAGGTTCAAACAAACTTGCCTTGGATATCAAAGTACTAGTAGCAAAGGAACTCCCAATTCCTCACCTGCTGTGAAGTTTCCCATTCACTGCAAGCAAAGTCCAGGTGAAAGCAAAGATTCTTCACCCGCAGAAACCCTCTGGGCAGGTAACTCATGATGTATTCCCAGCCACCTGATGAATCTGGAGAAAGGAATAGAATGGTTCTGCCAAATGATTTAAATGAAGAATCCTGTGGGCCCAGCCCAGCCCTCTATGCTAACCAATCTGAAGCCGGCAGGTGTGTGGTGTTCTGTTTATAGCTGCCAGATCAGCTCCTGTTGTAGGTTCTATATGCTGGCCTCAGCTGAGCCTGTGGTATGTGAGCACAGTTCTGTGCGATCCAAACAATTGACAAATACTGACCTGGCCCCAGCCACGTGCCCAGTCATTGCTGGGCTGCCCAAGAAACCAACTAAGCACATTCTGGGGCAGGGGTGGGGGGCATTCAAGAAAGAAATCAGAAAGCTGTATTCATTATTCTATTGACTGAAGGCTTAGTATTGTGTCAGGCACTGATCTGGCAACGGGGAAACAGTAATGTCTCTTTCCCTCATGGAACTTACATCCGGGCATTATTTCAGCATACTTATGAGTTTTCCTTATTTATTATTTATTTATTTACTTACTTACTTATTGAGACAGTTTTGCTCTGTCGCCCAGGCTGGAGTACAGTGGCGCGATCTCAGCTCACTGCAACCTCTGCCTCCTGGGTTCAAACGATTCTCCTGCCTCAGCCTCCCAAGTAGCTGGAATTACAGGTGCCCACCATCACACTGGGCTAATTTTTTATGTTTTTAGTAGAGACGGGGGTTTCACCATGTTGGCCAGGCTGGTCTTGAACTCCTGACCTCCAGTGATCTGCCTCCCTCAGCCTCCCAAAGTGCTGGGATTACAGGCGTGAGCCACTGCACCCGGATGAGTTTTACTTTTTTAAATAAAAATGTATTTTACAACGCAGTGTTGCTTTTGTTTTTAATTACTTGAAAGGACACCATAATCATTTCACTATTAGGGCCATAAATGTTTACTGTGGCCCTGTGGCCAGCACTTTTAAACTAAAAATTGGTTAGATTTTTACTTTTATGCACACATATTTTCTAAAAAGTTTCTTGGCCGGGCATGGTGGCTCATGCCTGTAATCCCAGCATTTTGGGAGGCTGAGGTGGGTGGATCACCTGAGGTCAGGAGTTCAAGAACAGCCTGGCCAACATGGCGAAATCTCTTCTCTATAAAAATACAAAAAATTAGCAGGACGTGGTGGTGTGCTCCTGTAATCCCAGCTACTTGGGAGGCTGAGGCAGGAGAATTGCTTGAACCCAGGAGACGGAGGTTTCAGCGAGCCGAGATCGCGCCATTGCACTCCAGCCTAGGTGATAGAGTGAGACTCTGACAAAAAAAAAAAAAAAAAAAAAAAAAAAAAAAAATTCATTTTGAATTAGGCTAAATTTGTGTAAAAGAAAGGATCTGGGGTGTAACCAACCTCAGGTAAAGTTTCTCATTGTGCTAATCATTGTTTTGGGGTGGGGTGGTTGTGGATTTAAAACTAAAGCATCCCGTACGATCTTGTGCGGTAGGTAGTGGAAACATTTACTACACTTGATCTTAGCCAAAAGGCCAAGAAGTGATTATGTGGAAACATTTAGACAGCAGGTGTGATGGGTCTTTGTAGTTCTAAGGATGGGTATACCCCTTGGGTTTATAAGCATCTAAATTATGCCCGATAAGAAAATTGCTGACTAGGGGCTGGGCATAGTGGCTCACGCCTGTAATCCCAGCACTTTGGGAGGCCCAGGCAGGCGGATCACCTGAGGTCAGGAGTTCGAGACCAGCCTGACCAACATGGAAAAACCCTGTCTCTACTAAAAATACAAAATTAGGCCAGGCGCGGTGGCTCACGCCTGTAATCCAGCACTTTGGGAGGCTGAGGCGTGTGGATCACCTGAGGTTAGGAGTTTGAGACCAGCTTGACCAACATGGTGAAACTCCGTCTCTACTAAAAATACAAAAAATTAGCCAGGCGTGGTGGTGCCTGTCTGTAATCCCAGCTACTCAGGAGGCTGAGACAGGATAATTGCTTGAACCCAGGAGTCGGAGGTTGCAGTGAGCCAAGCTGGTGCCACTGCACTCCAGCCTCGGCAACGGAGCAAGACTCTGTCTCAAAAAAAAAAAAAAAAAAAAATTAGCTGGGCATAGTGGCACATGCCTATAATCCCAGCTACTCGGGAGGCTGAGGCAAGAGAATCGCTTGAACCTGGGAGGCAGAGGTTGCAGACTGCATTCCAGCCTGGGCGACAGAGCGAGACTCTGTCTCAAAAAAAAAAAAAAAAAAAGAAATTGCTGACTAGGATTTTGGTTTCCTAACCTGAGAAGGATAGAGGTAATAAACCACCCATCAAAGCTCTCTGTCCAGAAAGGGAATCCATGCTGCCTTCTCCGTCACAAGGACAATAACTGATGAACCTCTGTTTAACATTTATTCATAGGCCAGGCACGGTGGCTCACGCCCAGAATCCCAATACTTTGGGAGGCCAAAGTGGGAGGATTGCTTGAGCCCAGGAGTTCGAGACCAGCCTGGACAATATAGTGAGACCCCATCTCTACAAATAATAAAAAAAAGTAGCCGGGCTTGGTGGCCCATGCCTGTGGTCCCAGCTACTTGGGAGGCTGAGGCAAGATGATCGCCTGAGCCCAGGAGGTCGAGGCTGCAGTGAGCGACCGCATCCTAGCCTGGGTGACAGAGTGAGACCCTGTCTCAAAAAAATAAATAAACAAAAATAAAAATATACGTTTATTCTACAAGGATTTGAGTGCCTTGGTGTCAGGAAGCATGGTACTGAGGATAGATAACTGCTAAATAAGACAGATAAGGTCCCTGCTCTTGTGGAGCTTACGGACTAGTTGACGATGGCAATGAAACAGTACATAAATGGACAGGGTAATGTAGTGATAAGTGCTAGATAGAAAAGAAAACCAGGTAACATGACAGAAAGTGACTGAAGGGCAAAGGAGTTTGCAACAATGGATGGGGAAGACAGGAGGGGCTTCCTGGAGAAGGTGACATTTGAGCAGATGTTGGTCAGGAGGAAGAGTCAACTTGTCAAGGTCTGTGAGGAAGAGGGAAGAGTGGGTACAGAGGCCCAGAGGCAGAAGCAGCTTGGCATATTTGAGGGAGAGAAAGGCCAATGTAGCTGGAGTGGAGTGCAGGAAAGTGGTTCAAGGTAAGGTTGGAAGGCAAGGCAGAGGCTGAAGCCTGTGGACTGGGAATCCTCATAAGAAGTGTAGATTTTTATCTAAGTGTCATTCTGTAAACTGACCTCTAAACAGGTTTGGGGGGATAACAGTTCTGTTTGGTGTTCTGATTTAATTCAGAGCCCCCCGAGGTGGGAGAGTAGACTCTGCCAGTGTATAATCTGCCCTTGTCCTAACTGATTACCTCACAGTCTGGGATGGGCCAGAGTTTAAAGATGGAATTCTTCAGAAGAGTCATTTTGGGAATTTCACCATCAATCTCTAACTCAGTACTCCAGAGTAATAAAACATCCGTGGAGAAATCAGACCTCACCTGGGAGTTACAATAGAAAGTTTTCTTTTGGAACACAATCATGTACTAAACTAAGACAAAAAGTTGTCACATCTGAGGATGAAATTACGAGTTCTAGATCAGAGGGCAGCCTAAATGAATTCATACATACTAGTCAGTATTTTCCTGGTTTGGGAAAGGGGAATTTCTTTGGCATTACAATGGCCAATGTCTCTTTTAAAGATCTGTCCTTTGTGGCCGGGTGGTGTGGCTCATGCCTGTAATCCCAGCACTTTGGGAGGCCAAGTCCGGCAGATCACCTGAGGTCAGGAGTTCGAGACCAGTCTGGCCAACACGGTGAAACCCCATCTCTACTAAAAATACAAAAATTAGCCAGGCGTGGTGGTGGGCGCCTGTAATCCCAGCTACTTGGGAGGCTGAGGCACAAGAATCGCTTGAACTGGGGAGGTGGAGGTTGCAGTGAGCCGAGATCATGCTACTGCAATCCAGCCTGGGCGACAGAGTGAGACTCAGTCTCAAAAAATAAATAAATAAATAAAATCTGTCCTTTGCAACTTTTCAGTATAGGGAGAGAGAGAGAAAAAAAAGATTTGTCTTGTTGAGTAAGAGTAAGGTCATGGATGACATGGTGTGACCTCTGCTGAAGATGTCTTAACACCTCGAATCGCGTCATGTGGCAGCTTCTTCTAGCCACCCCTGGCCCTGCACATGGTGATTATGAGATTTTTCTCATTGGATGGGAGCCCTGGAATTGAGGTTTCTTGGGGTGTGTTTTTGTCCTGTAGGTTTAGTGACGTCGACGGGGTTCCTTTGGAATTTCAGCAGCTAAGTCCGCCGGAGCTGCAGAAGGTCAGCTCAGGACATCGGAGGAGCTGACAGCCTGGAGAAGCTGTGCTTGTCTGCTGGTAGGGAGCACTTGTTTCTAAAGCAAGATTCTGCAACACTGACAGAACCAGTTTCCCATACTGCTGGTGGCTGCAAAAGATGTTTCAGGCTTGGGCTGCAGTGTGCCTGTCTTTGGCACTGCCACTGTTCCCCAGTTTCCTCAGCTCCAGATGGAGCATGTCTCAGGGACCACACAGAGCTTTGTTTAAATGCTCACATTAGCAGAAGGACGGGGATCCCATTGAATCATCCTCTCCTGTCAAAAAGCCAAGAGTTGTTCAGAAGGAAAAAACAGTTTTTCTCAAAGAGGCTAAATCTCTAGTACTAATTAGTTGCAGTAGTGGCATGTGTGTGTGTGTGGGGGGGGGGTGGCATGGTAATCTTGTGCCTCCAGTGTTCTAAATAGGGGCAATCTTTTTGCTCACGGTCTGAGCCATCGAATGAGTAACCTCGACCTCCTAAGACCCTTCACTGGGCTCACGTGTGTGTGAGTCCCACAGGAATTGTGGAATGCCTCTTTCTCTTGTTGGGTCCAGACATTTAGAATGAATAAATTAAAGGGTAGTGGTAACATGGTCATTGTCATTGCAGACAATGTGGTATTTATATATGGGCACTAGCTGTCTTTCTCATGGGGCTCAGGAACAAGGGTAAGTTTGATCTTTCATCATGAACCACTGGGGTGTTCTTTATACACAGAGGCTGTACCAGCTGAAAATAGCCCAAACATCTTGTAATTTTGTCTTTCCCAATTTTTGCCTATTCATATCCCAGAATAAAAGAGCCTGTTCAGCCTTTCCAAAGATTTAAAGAACATTATCTATTTGCTTTCTAAGTACCCAAAAAGCACAACCGTCTACATTCACCTTGGCTGGATGAGGACATGCATTCATTCATCCATTCAAGAGATATTTATTGCCAGACCTGGTGGCTCACGCCTGTAATCTCGGCACTTTGGGAGGCAGAGGTGGGAGGATCACTTGAGGCCAGGAGCTTAAGGCTAGCCTGGGCAACATAGCGAGACCCCATCTCTACAAAAAATAAAAAATTAGCTGGGCATGGTGGTATGTGCCTGTGGTCCTAGCTACTTGGGAGGCTGAGGTAGGGGCATTGAGCCTAGGAGTTCAAGGCTGCAGTGAGCTATAATCACACCACTGCACTCCAGCCTGGGTAACAGAGTGAGACCCTGTCTCAAAAAAAAGAAAGAAAAAGAAAAAGAAAAGGGGTATTTATTGAACACCTACTATGTTTCAGGCACTGTGCTAGATCCTAAGTGAATATCAGCACATGAACAAGACAAAGGCGAAAAGTTACCAAACAAGTCTAAGTTGATTTCGGTATATGCATCTTCCTGACTTCTGGTCCCGTGCTTTGACCACAACCCTTCACCACTAGACCAGACTTCCCCAAATAAACAACTACTTCTGCATGCTGGGGATGGGCTGTGTGCGGCAGCATTTACGTAGGCGGTACAGACAGCAGCCTTTCACTTAATGTTGCAATAACACCAGGCTAAACAATGTGCACTGACTTCAAAAGTGTGGGGTCAGGTCTCCTTCAAGTGCCACAGGGAGAGTGCAAAGTAGGAAAAGTCTATCGGATGAGGAAACACTGTAGAGGGAAAGTGAATTTTTTTTCAATTTGGGTTAAAATTCAGATGTGGAATTCTACCCTCCTTTTCACTTTTGGATCCCCAGATAGGAGGAACTCAGCACATAGATAATCATGAACTACACACATTTTGGTTTTATATGCTCAGACTTGTCCAGAGCATGAAATCCCTGCCCTGTTGGAAGGCAGCGCCGTGCTCACGGAGGCACACAAGCACCTGTCTCAAAGTCACCCTGACCTGCAGATCTGCAAATGGCAAAAATAATTTCACATGTTTGTTCTGATTTGTCTTCATTTTTAGGCTACCTTGTGTGAGCTCCACTTTTTAGAATGTGATTTTGCAGTCCTGAAATGGATACCATGAGCAGATTGAGATGTGAGAATATGTTAGAATGATCACAGGTTCGGATGTTAGTGGGGCAGGAGAGGGAGTCTGAGATTGTATTGGCCTATACTGTGGCTTCTGGTTGAGCACTTGGTTTGCCTGGATGATGCTCTGGCCTTACTCAATCTTTATCATTCCATTATCCAGAGGACAGAGGATCTGAGCCCCATCTCTGTATTGCAGTCACCTCCTCTGGGACCTGTTTCCAAGCCTTCTTCTGTGTTGCCTGGCACCCCTTTCTTACCTCTTTCAAACCACTTACTGCTACCCTGTAAGCTCGATTGACTTGTTGGTCTTCCTATGAGACTGGAATCTCTCTGAGGGTCGGGACAGGCCTACCCTCTTCATTACAGTGAGCACCAGCCTCCAGCCCAGTCAATAGTTTTGTTAAATAAATAATTGAACAAAATTATTTGTTAAATAATGGTTTGTCCTTTCCAGAGGATGGACTTAGTTTGTCCTTTCCAGAGGATGGATTTAGTAAGTCTCCAACTCTGGTCATAATGGTGCCAGAAGGAAAGAGTTAAGCTATCTGGAGGAAATAGGCTCACTCAAAGACCCTTCTTCTTTTTTTTTTTTTTAATTGGCAAAGGCAGGATAAGTGTATTTGAGATAAATCCTGGATATAAAATCTTGACACATCTTTTAGGTATTGGCCGAGATGCTTTGGACCTGAAAGGGAAGTAAATCAAATCATTCTAGGTTTTCTTTTCTTTTCTTTTGGAGACAGAATCTTGCTCTGTTGCCCAGGCTGGAGTGCGGTGGCACGATCTCGGCTCACAGGAACCTCTGCCTCCCGGGTTCAAGCAATTCTCCTGCCTCAGCCTCCTGAGTAGCTGGGACTACAGGCGTGCGCCACCACACCCGGCTGTTTTGTATTTTTAGCAGGGACAGAGTTTCACCATGATGGCCAAGCTGGTCTCGAACTCCTGGCCTCAAGTGATCCACCCGCCTCGGGCTCCCAAAGTGCAGGAATTACAGGAGTGAGCCACCGCACCCAGTCAGGTTTCCTGTTAAGTGGCCTGAGATCTAGTTGTGAATGGCAGTCATGGCCAGACTCAGGAATTCAAAGCTTGACCTATTTTGTCTGAAGCTAATATTAATAATAAGAGAGATGTATTTGGCTTCATAACCCCTTTCCCTCCCGTCCCCCTCTTTCTTTCTGTAATCAAGGATAGAATTAGAAGTACCGAAGGCCGCAGAATTGCTTTAGGATTCAGAGCAGCTCCAAGGAATCTGTGTTTACGTATTATGTGTGTTTTTCCGTTTCCCTCCCTTTTTATGAGTGAGAAAAAAAAGCGCCTAAATTCCCACCAACATAAACCAATGACATACAATGATGAAATTCTGTTTTCACCTCTGCCTGTGACAGGGAATGCAAAAATAGCAAGTGGCCCAGTTCCACGAATCCCCGCCTCCTGCCCTCCCCGCTCCTGCCGGGTTGGATCTCTAAGAATGGAGGTTAGCGCACAGCCTCGCGCGGGCCGCTCAGCCCCCGGACCCGGCGGATGATGTCAGGCGACGGGAGCGGCCGCGGCCGGGCCGGGGAGGCCGCGGCCCAGGGGAGCTGGGAGGGAGGGTGGCCTCGCCAGGCCGACGGCGCGCCCGGCCGCGCGGCGTTGCCTGGAGACGGCCCTGGCGGCGCTGTGTTGCTGTAAACAGCCGCTTCCCTGTTACTATCTATAGCAGGATCTCCTGGCTCCCGGGCGCGGCGGCTGGAGGCAGGTCTGCGGTCCGGCTCCCCGCGCGCCCCGAACTATCCGCCCGCCGGCCTCATCCTGCCTCGCCCCTCTCCAGGTGCCCACCGCGGGCCCCGACCCCCGGGCCCGAAGAGTGGAGAAGGGAAGACCGGGGCTGTGCGGGGACATGCGTCTTCGCGCCCTGGAGGTGGCCAGCGCGCTGGGGCTGAGCCCCGGCAGCGTGACCCCGGCTGTCCTACGCAGCAGGGCAGGAGATTGGGGGGCGTGGCACACTCTGGAGCACCTTGCCTCCCCAAAGCCCCGTGTTCCAGGACGTGGAGCCGCTCCTGGGGTCCCAGCAGTCGAGGTATTCCGCCCAGGCGCAGCTGGACACTGTCCTTCCAGCCCCCGTCCTCCACCCTCCAAGTCCGCGCTGGAAAATCACCCGCTGCGGGCTCCCGTAAGCACAGCTTCCTGGCGGGACCGAACCAGCCCTCAGCGCAGATTTGAGTTCCCCGCAGGAAGCACACCCCGCCTTGTCATCCCGAACTGACCACCCTGCCCACATAACCACACCTCGCACTCCCTACCCCTGGGGCCCAGCTCAGAACCGGGCAGACACCCCCTTCAAATGTCTTCGCACGTAGGTTTTGCACAGTGTTTATCTGCTGGTGTCTCAGGGATTTGACAGTTTCCTTAATATTCCCACACATGGCCGAGAAAAATAAATAAATAAATGCGCTGTCTTCTTTAAAAAAATAAATAAATAAAGTACCCAGTATCGTAAAGTAGGTTATCGTATTCTCTTATTTTGGATCCTCCACTTTCTGCTTCCAAACGCAGGAACAGTGCTAGTATTGCTCGAGCCCGAGGGCTGGAGGTTAGGGGATGAAGGTCTGCTTCCACGCTTTGCACTGAATTAGGGCTAGAATTGGGGATGGGGGTAGGGGCGCATTCCTTCGGGAGCCGAGGCTTAAGTCCTCGGGGTCCTGTACTCGATGCCGTTTCTCCTATCTCTGAGCCTCAGAACTGTCTTCAGTTTCCGTACAAGGGTAAAAAGGCGCTCTCTGCCCCATCCCCCCCGACCTCGGGAACAAGGGTCCGCATTGAACCAGGTGCGAATGTTCTCTCTCATTCTGCGCCGTTCCCGCCTCCCCTCCCCCAGCCGCGGCCCCCGCCTCCCCCCGCACTGCACCCTCGGTGTTGGCTGCAGCCCGCGAGCAGTTCCCGTCAATCCCTCCCCCCTTACACAGGATGTCCATATTAGGACATCTGCGTCAGCAGGTTTCCACGGCCTTTCCCTGTAGCCCTGGGGGGAGCCATCCCCGAAACCCCTCATCTTGGGGGGCCCACGAGACCTCTGAGACAGGAACTGCGAAATGCTCACGAGATTAGGACACGCGCCAAGGCGGGGGCAGGGAGCTGCGAGCGCTGGGGACGCAGCCGGGCGGCCGCAGAAGCGCCCAGGCCCGCGCGCCACCCCTCTGGCGCCACCGTGGTTGAGCCCGTGACGTTTACACTCATTCATAAAACGCTTGTTATAAAAGCAGTGGCTGCGGCGCCTCGTACTCCAACCGCATCTGCAGCGAGCATCTGAGAAGCCAAGACTGAGCCGGCGGCCGCGGCGCAGCGAACGAGCAGTGACCGTGCTCCTACCCAGCTCTGCTCCACAGCGCCCACCTGTCTCCGCCCCTCGGCCCCTCGCCCGGCTTTGCCTAACCGCCACGATGATGTTCTCGGGCTTCAACGCAGACTACGAGGCGTCATCCTCCCGCTGCAGCAGCGCGTCCCCGGCCGGGGATAGCCTCTCTTACTACCACTCACCCGCAGACTCCTTCTCCAGCATGGGCTCGCCTGTCAACGCGCAGGTAAGGCTGGCTTCCCGTCGCCGCGGGGCCGGGGGCTTGGGGTCGCGGAGGAGGAGACACCGGGCGGGACGCTCCAGTAGATGAGTAGGGGGCTCCCTTGTGCCTGGAGGGAGGCTGCCGTGGCCGGAGCGGTGCCGGCTCGGGGGCTCGGGACTTGCTCTGAGCGCACGCACGCTTGCCATAGTAAGAATTGGTTCCCCCTTCGGGAGGCAGGTTCGTTCTGAGCAACCTCTGGTCTGCACTCCAGGACGGATCTCTGACATTAGCTGGAGCAGACGTGTCCCAAGCACAAACTCGCTAACTAGAGCCTGGCTTCTCCGGGGAGGTGGCAGAAAGCGGCAATCCCCCCTCCCCCGGCAGCCTGGAGCACGGAGGAGGGATGAGGGAGGAGGGTGCAGCGGGCGGGTGTGTAAGGCAGTTTCATTGATAAAAAGCGAGTTCATTCTGGAGACTCCGGAGCGGCGCCTGCGTCAGCGCAGACGTCAGGGATATTTATAACAAACCCCCTTTCAAGCAAGTGATGCTGAAGGGATAACGGGAACGCAGCGGCAGGATGGAAGAGACAGGCACTGCGCTGCGGAATGCCTGGGAGGAAAAGGGGGAGACCTTTCATCCAGGATGAGGGACATTTAAGATGAAATGTCCGTGGCAGGATCGTTTCTCTTCACTGCTGCATGCGGCACTGGGAACTCGCCCCACCTGTGTCCGGAACCTGCTCGCTCACGTCGGCTTTCCCCTTCTGTTTTGTTCTAGGACTTCTGCACGGACCTGGCCGTCTCCAGTGCCAACTTCATTCCCACGGTCACTGCCATCTCGACCAGTCCGGACCTGCAGTGGCTGGTGCAGCCCGCCCTCGTCTCCTCCGTGGCCCCATCGCAGACCAGAGCCCCTCACCCTTTCGGAGTCCCCGCCCCCTCCGCTGGGGCTTACTCCAGGGCTGGCGTTGTGAAGACCATGACAGGAGGCCGAGCGCAGAGCATTGGCAGGAGGGGCAAGGTGGAACAGGTGAGGAACTCTAGCGTACTCTTCCTGGGAATGTGGGGGCTGGGTGGGAAGCAGCCCCGGAGATGCAGGAGCCCAGTACAGAGGATGAAGCCACTGATGGGGCTGGCTGCACATCCGTAACTGGGAGCCCTGGCTCCAAGCCCATTCCATCCCAACTCAGACTCTGAGTCTCACCCTAAGAAGTACTCTCATAGTTTCTTCCCTAAGTTTCTTACCGCATGCTTTCAGACTGGGCTCTTCTTTGTTCTCTTGCTGAGGATCTTATTTTAAATGCAAGTCACACCTAGTCTGCAACTGCAGGTCAGAAATGGTTTCACAGTGGGGTGCCAGGAAGCAGGGAAGCTGCAGGAGCCAGTTCTACTGGGGTGGGTGAATGGAGGTGATGGCAGACACTTTTACTGAATGTCGGTCTTTTTTTGTGATTATTCTAGTTATCTCCAGAAGAAGAAGAGAAAAGGAGAATCCGAAGGGAAAGGAATAAGATGGCTGCAGCCAAATGCCGCAACCGGAGGAGGGAGCTGACTGATACACTCCAAGCGGTAGGTACTCTGTGGGTTGCTCCTTTTTAAAACTTAAGGGGAAAGTTGGAGATTGAGCATAAGGGCCCTTGAGTAAGACTGTGTCTTATGCTTTCCTTTATCCCTCTGTATACAGGAGACAGACCAACTAGAAGATGAGAAGTCTGCTTTGCAGACCGAGATTGCCAACCTGCTGAAGGAGAAGGAAAAACTAGAGTTCATCCTGGCAGCTCACCGACCTGCCTGCAAGATCCCTGATGACCTGGGCTTCCCAGAAGAGATGTCTGTGGCTTCCCTTGATCTGACTGGGGGCCTGCCAGAGGTTGCCACCCCGGAGTCTGAGGAGGCCTTCACCCTGCCTCTCCTCAATGACCCTGAGCCCAAGCCCTCAGTGGAACCTGTCAAGAGCATCAGCAGCATGGAGCTGAAGACCGAGCCCTTTGATGACTTCCTGTTCCCAGCATCATCCAGGCCCAGTGGCTCTGAGACAGCCCGCTCCGTGCCAGACATGGACCTATCTGGGTCCTTCTATGCAGCAGACTGGGAGCCTCTGCACAGTGGCTCCCTGGGGATGGGGCCCATGGCCACAGAGCTGGAGCCCCTGTGCACTCCGGTGGTCACCTGTACTCCCAGCTGCACTGCTTACACGTCTTCCTTCGTCTTCACCTACCCCGAGGCTGACTCCTTCCCCAGCTGTGCAGCTGCCCACCGCAAGGGCAGCAGCAGCAATGAGCCTTCCTCTGACTCGCTCAGCTCACCCACGCTGCTGGCCCTGTGAGGGGGCAGGGAAGGGGAGGCAGCCGGCACCCACAAGTGCCACTGCCCGAGCTGGTGCATTACAGAGAGGAGAAACACATCTTCCCTAGAGGGTTCCTGTAGACCTAGGGAGGACCTTATCTGTGCGTGAAACACACCAGGCTGTGGGCCTCAAGGACTTGAAAGCATCCATGTGTGGACTCAAGTCCTTACCTCTTCCGGAGATGTAGCAAAACGCATGGAGTGTGTATTGTTCCCAGTGACACTTCAGAGAGCTGGTAGTTAGTAGCATGTTGAGCCAGGCCTGGGTCTGTGTCTCTTTTCTCTTTCTCCTTAGTCTTCTCATAGCATTAACTAATCTATTGGGTTCATTATTGGAATTAACCTGGTGCTGGATATTTTCAAATTGTATCTAGTGCAGCTGATTTTAACAATAACTACTGTGTTCCTGGCAATAGTGTGTTCTGATTAGAAATGACCAATATTATACTAAGAAAAGATACGACTTTATTTTCTGGTAGATAGAAATAAATAGCTATATCCATGTACTGTAGTTTTTCTTCAACATCAATGTTCATTGTAATGTTACTGATCATGCATTGTTGAGGTGGTCTGAATGTTCTGACATTAACAGTTTTCCATGAAAACGTTTTATTGTGTTTTTAATTTATTTATTAAGATGGATTCTCAGATATTTATATTTTTATTTTATTTTTTTCTACCTTGAGGTCTTTTGACATGTGGAAAGTGAATTTGAATGAAAAATTTAAGCATTGTTTGCTTATTGTTCCAAGACATTGTCAATAAAAGCATTTAAGTTGAATGCGACCAACCTTGTGCTCTTTTCATTCTGGAAGTCTTGTAAGTTTCTGAAAGGTATTATTGGAGACCAGTTTGTCAAGAAGGGTAGCTGCTGGAGGGGGACACACCCTCTGTCTGATCCCTTATCAAAGAGGACAAGGAAACTATAGAGCTGATTTTAGAATATTTTACAAATACATGCCTTCCATTGGAATGCTAAGATTTTCTACTGCTTCTGGGGACGGGAAACCGCTGTGTAACAGCTTTTGTGGGAATACATTTTTTCTGTTTCAGTACTCGCAGGGGGAAATATTTAAATTTTGTTGTGCTAATATTAAATTCAGATGTTTTGATCTTAAAGGAACCCTTTAAGCAAACAGAACCTAGCTTTGTACAGACTATTTTAACTTTTTATTCTCACAAAATCACGTGGAGGGTTATTCTACTTCAAAGATGAGCAAATTGAAGAATGGTTAGAATAAACAACTTTCTTGATATTCCGTTATCGGCATTAGAATCTTCCTGCTCGTTATCGTATCCAGCAGGCTGAACTGCCTCTTGATACTTGGTTAAAAAAAATTTTCAGGCCGGGCGCGGTGGCCCATGCCTGTAATCCTAGCACTTTGGGAGGCCGAGGCAGGCGGATCACCTGAGGTCGGGAGTTCGAGACCAGCCTGACCAACATGGAGAAACCCCGTCTTTACTAAAAATACAAAATTAGCCTGGTGTGGTGGTGCATGCCTGTAATCCTAGCTACTTGAGAGGCTGAGACAGGAAAATCACTTGAACTCGGGAGGCGGATGTTGCAGCGAACTGAGATTGCGCCATTGCACTCCAGCCTGGGCAACAAGATTGAAACTCTGTTTAAAAAAAAAAGTTTTCACTAATGTGTACATTTTTTTGTACTCTTTTATTCTCGAAAGGGAAGGAGGGCTATTGCCCTATCCCTTATTAATAAATGCATTGTGGTTTCTGGTTTCTCTAATACCATATGCCCTTCATTCAGTTTATAGTGGGCGGAAGTGGGGGAGAAAAAGTTGCTCAGAAATCAAAAGATATCTCAAACAGCACAAATAATGGCTGATCGTTCTGCAAACAAAAAGTTACATAATAGCTCAAGAAGGAGAAGTCAACATGACTCTGAACAAGCTTTAACTTAGAAACTTTATCATCTTAAGGAAGAACGTGACCTTTGTCCGGGACGTCTCTGGTAATGGGGCACTTACACACACATGCACACGTACAAACCACAGGGAAAGGAGACCGCCCTTCTGCCTCTGCTCGCGAGTATCATGCAGGCACCATGCACTATGTTTTCACACACACTGGGTGGAAGAAGAGCTTCAGCGCCAGTCTTCTAATGCTTTGGTGATAATGAAAATCACTGGGTGCTTATGGGGTGTCATATTCAACCGAGTTAAAAGTTTTAATTCAAAATGACAGTTTTACTGAGGTTGATGTTCTCGTCTATGATATCTCTGCCCCTCCCATAAAAATGGACATTTAAAAGCAACTTACCGCTCTTTAGATCACTCCTATATCACACACCACTTGGGGTGCTGTTTCTGCTAGACTTGTGATGACAGTGGCCTTAGGATCCCTGTTTGCTGTTCAAAGGGCAAATATTTTATAGCCTTTAAATATACCTAAACTAAATACAGAATTAATATAACTAACAAACACCTGGTCTGAAATAACAAGGTGATCTACCCTGTAAGGAACCCAGCTGGTGGGCCAGGAGCGGTGGCTCACACCTGTAATTCCAGCACTTTGGGAGGCTGAGACAGGAGGATCACTGGAGTCCAGGAGTTTGAGACCAGCCTGGGCAACATGGCAAAACCCAGTGTGCTTCTGTTGTCCCAGCTACACTACTCAGGAGGCTGAGGCAGGAGTATGACTTGAGCCTGGGAGGGGGAGGTTGCAGAGAACTGATATTGCACCACCACTGCACTCCAGCCTGGGTGACACAGCAAAACCCTATCTCAAAAAAAAAAAAAAAAAAAAAAAGGAACCCAGCTGGTTCCTGTAGGTGTGCAATAATAACAACCAGAGGAAGAAAAGGAAGACGATTTCCCAGATGAAGAAGGGCAGCTGGACCTTCGGACATTGACCTGCTCCTGGGGACCTCAATCATGGTCCCTGTCAGCCCCATGCTTACTCTAGAGGGTGAGCATTGCTTTCCCTTTGACAGCCCTGGCCAAGGCCCAGACACAGACCCTTGCTCTAGCTTATTGCACAGCCCAGTGGAGACCAGGCTGCTACATCAAGATGGCGTTAAAGGTCCAGAAAGAGGAAATCAGAGACCATCGGATCCCCAGGGTTGACATCCCACCAAGCTTCCTGCTGACCACTTTCATGGGCTTGAGAGAAGAAATTCCTTCCTCCTTTCTCCAGCTAAATGGCTCCTTCCAAATCCCTTTTACTCACTCAGGACTGGACAACTCTCAGGGATTATTAACTCTGGGAAATTTTTTGTTTTTGTTTTTTGTTTATTTTTTTTGTTTTTTAGGCAGGGTCTCGCTCTGCTGCCATCTCGGCTCACTTCAACCTCCGCCTCCCGGCTTCAAGTGATTCTCCTGCCTCAGCCTCCTGAGTAGCTGGAATTACAGGCAACTGCCACCACTCCTGGCTAATTTTTGTATTTTTAGTAGAGACAGGGTTTCACCATGTTGGCCAGGCTGGCCTCGAACTCCTGACCTCAAGTGATCCCCCCAACCTTGGTCCCCAAAGTGCTGGGATTACAGATGTGAGCCACCATACCTGGCCTTCAACTTTCTTTTGAAAAAGACTTTGTCGGATTCCTACCCACAAGCTATGGCCTCATGCTAATCTCAATAAAACAACTACCTGCCAGGCGCGGTGGCTCACACCTGTAATCCCAACACTTTGGGAGGCCAAGGTGGGTGGATCGCCTGAGGTCAGGAGTTCGAAACCAGCCTGGCCAACATAGTGAAACCCCGTCTTTACTAAAAATACAAAAAAATTAGCTGGGTGTGGTGGCGGGCACCTGTAATCCCAGCTACTCGGGAGGCTGAGGTAGGAGAATGGCATGAACCTGGGAGGCGGAGCTTGCAGTGAGCTGAGATCATGCCATTGCACTCCAGCCTGGGTGACAAGCGTGAAACTCTGTCTCAAAAAAACAAAAAACAAACAAAAAAGAAAACAACTACCAGAGGGCACCACTATTCAACATTGCTAAAGACATATACATATAATTGAAGGGGATAGAGGCAGAAGTCATTTCCTCATGGGGATTATGTCCAGTTTAGCTCACCAGGATCCCCAGAACTGGCTCAGTGCCTGGCACATGGTACAAGGTTAATTAATATTTTGCCCAGTGGATGAATAAATTCTGTGCTATTTCCATACACAGAAATATATTCCACACATATTCTTTAACTTCTCCTCTCCTGGTCCCTGTTAGTATATTAAGCAATGGGAATTTTACATCTTTTATGTCTGGCTGCAAAAATATACCCCATTCCCATCCTTGCCTCCTGGAATTCCTTCACTGTCTTCCTGGATGACCTCTGCCAATTCAACTTCAAAGCTGCCATTGGGCTTCTGGCTCCAAATTAATTTTCAATGGGAAGAGGGAAGAGGAAAAATATTTATCTCTGTAGAATAGTGGATTGTAGATTCTGCATCATCTTTGCACATCACTGCATCTTGTGTAATTATCAAAATTAAAGGGTAGGATTTAACAATTTGTTCTAATAACAGTAATTTTGTATCAACAGCAATTCCCATGTGTGAATGAAAGTAAATCAATTATGCTATCTTTAATTAACGGACAAAAAAAAATTGAGGCACAGTAAAAGTTCTCAGTTGATTATCTTGAGGTAATCGTCTAAAGTTTCAATGTTTTTACAGTTGAAAAAAAGCTAAAACAAAATTGATCTCTAAATGGTGTATGAGACTCATTCCAAACAGAGTAACCAAACTCCTCAAAAAAAAAAAAAAAAAAAAAAAAAGAGATATGAGCCTCACTTGAATGCTGAATAGCAGAATGCTTTAAATTGTGCTGTTTTCCTATTAATATTAAAGAGTTGACTTTTAGGAAGTCTCACTCAGGGTCCCCTGTCTCTCTACTGAAGAGAGAGTTATTCTCCTTTCTCTTTCTTTTGCTTATTAAACCTCTACTCCTAAACACCACCCCTCCACCAAAAAAAAAAAAAAAAGTTGACTTTTAATTCCTCTCCCACTCTATCTCTTTTCCTTCTTCCCTACAGGCACTCTGCTCACGAGCCTTCCTTCCACTCCTGGCACATAGAACACGTACTCCTGCAGCAGGGCCTCTGCACTTGCAGTCCCTCTGCCGGGGCCTCTTGCCCCAGGCTGGCGGCATCCTGTCATTTGGGACTCTGCTCAAAGGACATGTCCTCCAAGGGGCTTTCCCTGGTCATTCTATCTAGGGTGACTTCGGGACATACTTGCTCCCTAGGACTCTCTATTTAGTTATCCTGCTTTGTTTTTTCACAGCCTGTATCCCTACTTGCAATATCTAATTTATGTGTTATTTTCCTTTTAAAAAATTGTCTGTCTCATCGGGTGCAGTAGCTCACGCCTGTAATCCCAGCACTTTGGGAGACCTAGGTGGGCGGATTACCTGAGGTCAAGAGTTCGAGACCAGCCTGGCCAACATGGCAAAACCCTGTCTCTACTAAAAATGCAAAAATTAGCTGGGGGTGGGTGGTGTGCACCTGTAATCCCAGCTACTCAGGAGGCTTAGGCAGGAGAATCGCTTGAACCCAGGAGGTGTAGGTTGCAGTGAGCCAAGATCGTGCCAATGCACTCTAACCTGGGTGACAGAGCAAGACCCTGTCTCAAAAAAAAAAGAAAATTGTCTGTCTCTTATCCCTGAACTGTAAGTTCCATGTGAGCGGGAACCTTTTCTGTCTTGATCACATTTGTATCTCTAGTGTCTATTAGGCCCTCAAGTGCATGTTGAATAAAGAAGATGAATGAGTGAATGAATGCAGATGAAAATTACAAAAATATTGACAGGGACATAGCTAGAACTTAAAGTGAAGATAAACTATATACTTCACAGATTTTTTTCAGGGTAGAAGAGTATGCCCATTTGTTTAAAAAAATTGCCTTCGAGGATTCTACAATATTAAGATGAGGAGCTAGCTAGCTTGGGAAAGAATTTTAAGGGGTACAAAAAATACAAGTAAGCTGTAGGTCAGTGACACTTCTAGGCTAATTATAGGTTGAGAAATTGTTTCGCTATTAAATGCAGAATGAATGCATATATAAATTTAGATATAATCATTTTCAAAGAAACAAACAAAATTATGTTTTTCACTCTTACTGCTATAAAACTTTCAGACTATCACAAAAATCCCATTTGAGTTCAATGGTTCCTAGCAATCAGTGTGCTAAATGGTAAAACCTATAATTTAGTCTGCATTAAAATAGAAGAATAAGGGTTAGCTACTATCATTATTATCACATCAACATCATCATCATAATTATCATTTGCCAAGAATATGCCCAGACCTGAGGAGAAGCAGGTAGAAATAGGGTACATTGAATCCTGAGGAATCAGTGCAAAGTCTCTGAAGGGGGATGGTTGGATAGATTTCCATTTCCTTTGCATGCGGGAGAAAGCAACAGAAACGTAAACCAGTTCCGTTGCAACACAATTTATTTTCGTGGTTCCACACATCTATTTTTGGACTAAACTAAGTTGCCTTTCCTTTGCCCAAGCATTCTTCAGTTGCTTAAGAGGACACAGAGCAGTAAGGGCTCTGGAGCCTGCCTGGCCTTATGGCCATCAGCTCTCCATTTTTTTTTTTCTGAGACGGAGTCTCACTCTGTCACCCAGGCTGGCTCACTGCAACCTCTGCCTCCTGAGTTCAAGCGATTGTCCTGCCTCACTCCCGTCTCAGCCACCAGAGTAGCTGGGATTCCAGGCAACTGCTATCATGCCTGGCTAATTTTTGTATTGTTGTAGAGATGGGGTTTCACCATGTTGCCCAGGTTGGTCTCCAACTGCTGACCTCAGGTGATCCGCCGGTCTCAGCCTCCCAAAGTGCTGGGATTACAGGCATGAGCCACCGAGCCCAGCCAGCTCTTCTTAATAAGCCCTTTTCCCTTTCAGCTCAAGGTGATTGGGTTTGGTACAGTCAGGTGACTGGGAGGGCTGGGAACCCGCACGGGTTTAATTGTTGGTTATGTTAGAAGCAGACCCATACAAAGGGGCCCCTATTAAAGGGTCTAGACTGAGCAAAACGAAATACCTTCGTGCTAAATGTAAGTGACCCAGTCTCCAGTTGCCGCCATGCTTACTTTGGGGAACAATTTTTGGTCAAATCTATGGAAGCAATGATTTGTTTTTAGGCTTTTTGTCAGTGATGTGACTATCATCACAGCTAAATTTATCAAAACAATATAATATATTGATCTAAATTTGGGGAATTGGATCCAATGTATGTATGTATGTATGTATTTATGTATTGAGACAGTATCTCATTCTGTCATCCAGGCTGGAGTGCAGTGGCACAATCTCGGCTCATTGCAACCTCTGCCTCCTGGATTCAAGCGGTTCTCCTGCCTCAGCCTCCTGAGTAGCTGGTATTACAGGCGCATGCCACCATGCCTGGTGACTTTTTGTAATTTTAGTAGAGATGGGGTTTCACCATGTTTCCCAGGCTGGTCTCGAACTCCTGACCTCAAATGATCCGTCTGCCTTGGGCTCCCAAAGTGCTGGGATTACAGGCGTGAGCCACCGCACCCAGGCAAGAATTGGATCCAATTTAGCAGAGTGGTCCAAAGCATAGACTTAGCCCTGAATCCTCACTCCTAGACTTTGGGTAAGTTATTTAACCTCTCTGCTCCTTAGTTTTCCCTCCTGTAAGATGGGGATAATAATTGTATCCACTTCTTGGGGTTGTTGTGGACATTAAATAAGTTGGTATGTATAGACTGAATATCACAGCATCTGGGCACACAGAAGTATGATAGAAGGGTTAGTTGTTTTTGGCTGGGCACAGTGGCTCACGCCGGTAATCCCAGCACTTTGGGACGCCGAGGTGGGTGGATCACCTGAGGTCAGGAGTTCAAGACCGGCCTGGCCAACATGTTGAAACTCCATCTCTACTAAAAATACAAAAATTAGCTGGGCGTGGTGGTGGGACCTGTAATCCCAGCTACTTGGGAGGCTGAGGCAGGAGAGTTGCTTGCGCCTGGGAGGCAGAGGTTGCAGTGAGCTGAGATGGCGCCATTGCACTCCAGCCTGGGCAACAAGAGCGAAACTCCATCTCAGAAAAAAAAAAATAAAAAAAAGAAGAAATGTTAGCTGCTTTTATTATCTTTATAGTTTAGGGAGATGGGGGTCAGGGGAACATGTATGGGCTTCATTTCATTTAATAAAAAGTTTCTGGGTGTCTGCTATGTATCAGGTATTGAATTCAGTGTGAGGAAGAGACAATCCTGTCCTCAAAGAGCTCAAGTAAGGGAGAAAGACAGGTAAACACAAACCTTATAATACACTGTAACAATGGAAATTAACACCAGGTTCAGGAGTTACATGGAAGAGGTAGTGACAAACTCTCTCTGGGGGAGTCTCTGAGGAAGGTGACCTTTCAGCTAGGCTTCGAAGGTGTATGGAGCTTGCTAGATGAGCAAGTGGCAGGGTAGAGAGCTTCTGGGCTGAGGATTAGCACTGCAAGGGCACAGACTCATAAAACACTGAATTTGGTTTTGCTCAACTACAAAGTGTGTGAGGGGGCAGTGAGGGGGAGATGATGAGGAGGAGATGTAAATTACAGAACATCACGCAAGTGCATTTAATTTCACTTATATCAATATTGCATCATCAAATAGATGGGGCTGAAGATCAGCCAAGAAGAGATCACTGTGACCAGATCATGAAAAGCCTGGTGCTTACTTAGCTCAGTTATGTGTAGGCTGAACCAAGGCAGTGGTGGTGGGAATGGAGAGGGAACAAGAGGTAATTAGGGGGTCAGGACCTGGTGATTGAGTAGGTGGTGGAGGTGAGGGAGAGGGAGGAACCCAAGCTCACCGTCAGGTTTACCAGGCTTGAAACACGGGAGGCTTGTGTTTCCACCAATGGCTTTGTGACTATAGGAAGAGGAACAGGTTTGGGGGTTAAAAAGGTAAATTCTATGTTGGACATGTTGAGTTTGCAATGCCTGGGGAGTATCTATGGGGAGATGTGGGCAGTTGGAACCACAGCAGAGGTTCTATGATATGAGTTTATAGAGCTTGTCTGGAGGCAAATGGTTGGGATAGAACCTGGAGCCTTAAGAGAAAATATTGATAATGCCCAGTATTTCACATGTGCTTGCTCTGTGCCAGGTTGTGCTATGCACTTTATAGGCCATGCTAAATCAATGACTTTGGTTTGCTAATCATTGTACCTCTAGCAACTGGCACGTAATGGGCATACAATAATTATTTTGTTTAATAAATGCTCTCATTTAGTCCTCACAACAATCCTATGAGGCAGATATGATTAGTGTCATTTTACAGATAAGGAAAACAATTTAGGAAAGGTTAAATAAGCTGACCAAGGTCACACAACTGGTAAGTAGCAGATCTAAGATTTGAATCCAGCTCTTTGTGACTCTAAAACCCAAAGTGCTTAACTGCATTGCTAGAATGTGAACATCTGCTCTTAAAGATGTGCTTATGTGACCTGGGGTGAGATTTCAACCCCTCTGAGACTATTTCCTATGCCAGATTAGGGGTGGGATTCAAAAATCTCTAAGCTCCCTTTCCATCTTCAAAACTCTGATGACATCAGGAGACTGCTACGAAAATGCCCTAAAGTGCCCGCACCACATCATTCTTAGATGCTTGATGTTCTAGTAGCAACACTGGGGCATGCTCTGCAGTTGACACTCCTTGTAATCCTCTCACGGAACCTTTTTAAGATGGGAGGCCTGAGCAGTGTGTACAGAGCCACAGAAGTGTACCAAGCATGGGGAGGTGGGAGCAGTCTGTTCTAGGGATAGGCAATGAGAATGTATTTGGTTCTATTTCTGTATAACAATTTACCACAAACTTAGCAGCTTAAAGCAACACACATTTATTATCTCACAGTTTCTGAACATCAGGAGTCCAGGTATAGCCAGTTGCTTATCTAGCAAACTCCATCCATCTTCTGAACAGAACAGTGTTGTGTTCAAGGTCTCGCGAGGCTGCAATCAAGGTGTCAGCTGAGCTGTGTTTTCAGCTGGATGTTTGAGTGGGGAAGAGTCCACCTCCAAGCTCACTCAGGTTGTTCACAGACTGTATTTCCTTGTGGCTGTATAACTAAGAACTCTGGCATTTTGCTGGCTGTTGGCTGAGGCTACCCTTCGGTTCTAGAGGCTGCCTTGTAAACTTCTTCAACACAGCTGCTCACTTCATCAAGCCTGCGACAAGAACCTCTCCAGTGCATGCCAGCAAGATGGGGCCATACACAGACATAAAATTACGGGAGTGACATCCCATCACCTTTGCATTTTCTATTGCTAAGAGGCAAGTCTCAGGTTCCACCTGCACTCAGATGGAGGGAATTACACAAAGGCATGGACATCAGGAAGCAGGAATCACTGTGGGTCACTCTAGGATTTGTTATCCACAAGGGATCACATTATCTGCTTAGAATTTCAAACGAATAATAAAACCAAAAAAAGTTGGTCTGCCTTTTAAAAATTTTCCCTTATTTAAAACTTTATTCTTAATAAAGAAAAATGAGAAAACCCCAAAACTTTCTTCTTTAATTGGCAACCTTCAAAAAAGATATTCACAACAGGACTCAGAGCAAGGGCAGAGATCCCCAAAGAGATGGTTTTTCCTTAATTCATCAGGCTGGAGCAGAGTTTAAACCAAGCTGGAACCACTCCGGCTCTGGCCACAACCTAATCTCTACATCCTGGCCTCCATCACATTGGCCGGAAGCTGGTTCGCTTCATCCAAGGGTCTAGTTTGAGGGCATTCATGGCTTCTGCAAGTTTGAGCATCCCTTGCTCCTGGTGCTGGCAGTGCCACTCAGCCATGGACTGGAGCATCCACTTGGTTTGGAGCTTGTACCAATAGGAGCTGTAAACCACGACCTCGGTGAGGTCTGAAGACTCCAGAGCCTTCAGCTGGAGCATGGCCTTGCTCATCTGCTCGATGTAAGGGATTATCCATACGGGCCTGCTGGGGGAAGGGGATGAGAGCTCCCAGGTAGGGCACCCAGGCCAGCACTGGGCACACTCACCAAAGGTGGCTTCCAGCAGCCGCGTCGGGACCTAGAACACCTCTGGGCCTTTCAGGTCTTTGGGCAGTCTGCCTTTTAAATAAACACTATGAGCTGGCAATTCTAATGTTGTCAGTGACAAAGTACTTCTTCCTGAAAAAATCTTTGGTTGTTTTAAGTCCTAAACAGTTGCTGGGATTACTATTGAGTTTGAATAATGTAATATGTACGCTTCATTTTAAAAAATTACTTAAAAAACAGAGATAACACAATGACTGTGAAGACTGAATTTGAGTTGCTTCTGTTCCATGTAACCATTTGGAGTTTTCGTGTTTAAAATTTAAAATTGCGAAGCAGTGTGATACAGTGTTTTGCCATGTTTTTATTTGACAAATGCACATTTTAGTTAATAACTAAATATTTTTACTAGATTTGAATATTATCTTTAAAATAGATAATTCCTTTTGCTTATTTATTTTTGAGAGAGGGTCTCCCTGTCACTCAGGCTGGAGTGCAGTGACTGCAATCAAGGCTCACTGCAGCCTTGACTGCCCTGGCCCAAGATCTTCCCACCTCAGCCTCCCAAGTAGCTGGGATCACAGGTGTGCACCACCATGCCCAGCTATTTTTTTTTATTTTTGTAGAGTCGGGGTCTCCTTATGTTGCCCAGGCTGGTCTAGAACTCCTAGGTTCAAGTGATCCTCCTGCCTTGGCCTCCCAAAGTGCTGGGATTACAGGCGTGGGCCACAGCGCCCGGCCCCCTTTTATTTTAAATCTAAAGAAGACTCGAGAAAAAAAACATTACGTCAGTAGTAGATTTAGGAGATGCACTACTAATACTACGTAAGTTTCTCTTGTGCTGCCTGGGAATAAAAATAAACACTTAACACTAACTTGGGGCTCACAACATGCTTGACACTGTTCCAAACACACACACACACACACACACACACACACACACACACACTCATTTTAAAAGTCCTCATCTACTCTTAAAGGTAGGTCCTGCTATTATCCTTATTTTTGTAGATAATAATATAGTCTGGGGCGCAGAGGTCTGCTCAAGATCATCCAACTGGAGTGGCAGCGCTGGAATTAGAGTCCAGGCAGTGTGGCTTCAATGCCTGAACTCTTAGCCATTAGAAAGGAAAAACAAAGCAAAATCAGTATCCGCAACAACCTTGCAGGCACGGAGGCCCTCAGAAGGGACAGGAGAGGCCGGGCGCGGTAATCCCAGCACTTTGGGAGGCCGAGGCGGGCGGATCACCTGAGGTCAGGAGTTGGAGACCAACCTGGCCAACGTGGTGAAATCCTGTCTCTACTAAAAATGTAAAAAATTAGCCGGGTACGGTGGCGCGCGCCTGTAGTTCCAGCTACTTGGGAGCCTGGGGCGGGAGAATCGCTTGAACCGGGAGGCAGAGGTTGCAGTGAGCAGAGATCGCGCCAGTGCACTCCAGCCTGGGCGATAGAGCGTGACTCCATCTCAAAAAAAAAAAAAAAAAAAAAAAAAAAAACAAAGGAAAAGAAAAAGAAGGGACAGGAGGGCCTCCTTCCGCTCCTGACCAGCCCCTGCTGGCCCGTGGGCAGAGGGAGAGCCGGCTTCCAGGGACCTCAGGGAGGGACGTTTGGGAGTGCTCTCTCAGCGTCCCCTCCACCGCCCTCTCTACACCCTTGCCGCGCCCCTGTCCTCGTCGGCCAGGCCAAGGTTTCTCCTGGCCCTTCCCAGCTTCCGGCCCTTTGCTCCAGGGCAGGTCGCAGGGCCAGACGGTGCCAGGAGCTCGCGAGTCCTCTGTTTACTGTTTGGTTTCCACGGTGACACGTAGGCGCCGTCAGCGACTCCCGTCACCGCCCCGCAGCGCGGCCCCCACCCGGCGCCGTGACGCCGGCCCGCCGCTTCCGCTCTGCCCATATTTGGCTCAGCCACTGCGCCGCCGGCCCGGGGTAGGCTGTGGGCGGGACTCCCGCCGCGCCCCGCCCCCGGTCCCTGCCCCGCCCCTGGAATGCTGGGCGAAGGCTCCGAGCCACGAGACCCCCGCCTCCTGTCCCGGGACCCACCCAGGCGGAGGCAAGGGCAGGGGCGCTGGGGGCCCAGAGAGAGGGCGCCGCGATGGATGAATGAGCTGTTTCCAGCATTCCTGTGCGTCTGCTGGTTGTAGCTGCAGTCAAGATTTGGGGCGGTCTCGTTTGTTGTGGGTGGGTGATCTGGGATCACGATTTTCTCACTCTGTGCCCGGAAATCATGCCATCTCTCGCCCAACGCTGTATTTTATAGGCTTCAACTCAAAATTTTCCTTCATGGCACAGTGGAAAGCTTTGAAGACGGCGGTTCTGGGGTCAGTGTTGCCCCTCGGGGGATAAGTGACCTTGGGAAGGCCATTTTCCTTTTCCTGGCATGATAAAACGAACCGTGGGGGTGGTCCATAATGGTTGCAGCACTGTCATCAGGCTTGTGAGGGGAGCTTTTCCATCACCCTCTAACCACCCCCTCCCCAGGACATAACTGGAATATCAGTGAAGTTCTTTGAGCATCGACCCCCTACAGTTCTGCCCCCTGTGGTGATTGGATTTGTGTGTCTCTGCACCTTGCTCCTATTAGGCGCTTAATGAACTTTAGTTAACTGATTATTGAATGAATAATACGAATCACCTTCATAAATCCGGACCCCTGCAATTCCTCTTCCAGGCCGGGCGAGGGGGAGGGTAGGGGATGGGGGAGAATATTGAGATGATTAATAATCGCGCGGCAGGGTTGCTGATGTAAAGCGATTTGCAGATCTAAAGGGCAATAAGCATTCCTGGGAGAAATCCAGCGAGATTCCAGAAGTCTCTGAGGGAGCCGTGGGTGTGTACCGCCGGGCCCAGAGGGCGGGGGTGGGGCAGGCAGTGCCGCAGTGGCCGCTGCTGGGGAGCCGATTGCAATTGCGAGGAGAAGCGTGGGGTTAATCCTTCAAGACGCCTGTCACCATCCTCCCACCCCCATCCCTGCCCCCTAGATTCCCCAGTTCCTCTGGCTGAAGGAGTGTGTGTTTTCCAGAGTTTCAGAGCTGGAAGTCACATCGGAGACTTTTAATCTAATTTAACCTATTTCGCCAACAGGGAAATTAAAGCTCAGAGAAGTTGGTTCGACCATCCAAACTTGCACAGCTAGTTAGAAACTGATAAAAGTCAGGATATCTAGCTTCAAATAGTGTTCCACATCGCCTAGGTGCTTCTAATTTCCTGTGCTTCAGAACCCTGTTGCCTGGCTCAGCTGGTGGGTTGTACATTTAGGCTAAATATTGACTTCAGGGCTCTTAAAGAACGCCATTGTCACGTCTGCTGCCACACGCAGCCCACACCATGACACCAGGGCCTGGGGGGGATGGCCAAGAATTGTGTACTTCCTAAAGCCTCAAGCATTCCTCCTTAGAGCAGCTGGAATGGTCACCCCTGTCCAGGGAACAGGAGTCGGCTGTTCTGAAACCAGTCTTAGTCTAGCAGTTGGTCACTTTTCATAGTTACCCAAGCCTTGCATTAAACTTTTCTCAGCCAAGATTACAGCAGGAGGCAGGAGTAGCCCTAACCCTTTTCTGCTGTTTGGAAGTCTTTTCATGGCACATGGAGGGTTCCTTGCTGGGGGTGGGGAAGAGTGCCTCTTCAATGCTTCTCTCTTTCTCTTTCCCCTTTCAGTCTCACCCAACTTCCTCTTACACGCTGTTTCTTCCCTAACTTCTAGGCTGAATATGAAGGCAACTCGGACTAAGAAGACGACTGCTTTCCAACTGCCCTCCCGTCCTGCAGCCGCCTGATTTGAGGAAGGGGCTGGGATCCTTCCCCTTGCCCTCTGGTTGTTCTTGGAGTTACAGCAGCCCCGCGGCAGCTCTGCCCCCTAGTGCACATGTGAGGCAGCGCGCCCTTCTCCAATCCAGAAGCCTCGTCGCGGTGCTGCCAGCAAGGGAGTTTTTCTGTATTCACTTTGGTGGAAATAGCAAAACTTGACAGAAAAAAAACCCAAGCCAAACCAAAACACACGAACCATTCTAGCCTTTTCTCTCTTTCGTTTCTTTCTGAGGATCTGGCCGATTTGGATGCAGAAAACATGCCTGTTGCTTCTGCTGCGAAATCTGCTCTTTCTCTTCCTGCTATCGGAACCCTGTCCCTTCTTTCAAAGCCTAATTCAGGCCAGGCGCGGTGGCTCACGCCTGTAATCCCAGCACTTTGGGAGGCCGAGACAGACGGATCACTTGAGGTCAAGAGTTTGAGACCAGCCTGGCCAAAATGGTGAAACCCTGTCTCTACTAAAAATACAAAAATTAGCTGGACATGGTAGCACACGCCTGTAATCCCAGCTACTCGGGAGGCTGAGGCAGGAGAATCACTTGAACCCGAGAGACGGAGGTTACAGTGAGCTGATATCAGGCCACTGCACTCCAGCCTGGGTGACAGAGTGAGACTCCATCTCAAAAAAAAAAAAAAAAAAGCCTATTTCAAATTCCACCCCTTGCCTAAAAACTTTTCCTGACTTCTGACTTTCCTCTCCTATGCGTCTTTTTTATTTTTTATTTTTGAGCTGGAGTCTCACTGTGTCACCCAGGCTGGAGTGCAGTGTCGCAATCTCCGCTCACTGCAACCTCCGCCTCTGGGGTTCAAGCAGTTCTGCCTCAGCCTCCCGAGTAGCTGGGATTACAGCCACCCGCCACCATGCCTGGCTGATTTTTTGTATTTTTAGTAGAGACGGGGTTTCATCATGTTTGTCAGGCTGGTCTCGAACTCCTAACCTCAAGTGATCCACCCGCCTTGGCCTCCCAAAGTGCTGGGATTACAGGCATGAGCCACCGCGCCCAGCCATCCTATATGTCTTTTGAAATATGGCTGTACACAGGCTCAGCACACAGTGTGCACTTATATACTGTATTTCTTTATTGGGGTCCAAGTCTGTGCATCTTTTGTGTTCACAGACCCCAGGGTGCCCAGCACAGGGCTGGGGACACAAACTGCTCTCAATAAGCCCCTGTTTATTAATTAATTGATTAGCTTCCACAGAAACAACTGAGGTTTTGCTTCAATAAACCTTGCAGAACTCTTAGTTCTTTAGGGACTCTGGATAGTGATCTAATCAAATATGGCCTTGCACAGTAAGTCATTTCACAAAGCAATTTCACAAGAGAACACTAACATCACCCAGAGTGGGATGAGGAAGTCTGAAATTTGAAGTGGACTCTCAGAAAGATGAGGAAGGTGGCGGTGCTGTAGACAGGTCAAAGGACAATGACTTAGGAGAGGTGGGTCTCTGCTTCTGGGATAGAAGACGCAGCACGGGCCCTAGAGTTAGCTTCATATCCAGACTCTACCACTTGCTGTATGTCCCTGGGCAAGTTTACTCTTCTCTCTGTGCCTCAGTTTTCTCCTCTGTAAAAAAAGGCCGGGCATGGTGGCTCCTGCCTGTAATCCCAGCACTTTGGGGGGCCAAGGTGGGCGGATCACCAGCGGTCAGGAGCTTGAGACGAGCCTGGACAACATGGTGAAAACCCATCTCTACTATAAATACAAAAATTAGCAAGGTGTGGTGGCACGCGCCTGTAGTCCCAGCTACTCTGGAGACTGAGGCAGGAAAAATCGCTTGAACTCAGGAGGCAGAGGTTGCAGTGAGCCAAGATCGCACCACTGCAGTCCAGCCTGGGTGACTGAGCAAGACTCCGTCTCCAAAAAAAAAAAAAAAAAAAAAAGTACCTATCTCATAGTGATACAATGAGGGTGAATTAGCTGGTATTTGTAAAGTGCTAAAGCAACACCTTGCACCTCGTAAGTACCATGTAACTGTTTGTAAATGAATTTTCCAGCTTAGCTGTCTTGTCATTGGAATGGGGATTGATTATATGTTCTCTTGGTTCCCTCGAGCAGTGACCTTTCAGGGCAGTGCATAAGCTTTGGGGTCAGGCAGGTCTGGGTTGACTCCTATCTTTGTCGGTAGTTGTGTGACTTTGCACAGATAACTTCTCGGAACCTCAGTGTTCTTATCTGTGAAATGGGAATAATTGTGTCTACTTCAAAAGACTGTTGTGGGTATTGCATGTTTGTAATGTGCCTGGCACAGAAGGAGTGTAATAAACAGAAGCTATAGTTATTATTGTGGACAAGAGCAGCCACATGTAAAGGAAAATAGAGTTTCCAAGGTCATTGAAGTTTCCAGAAAGACTGAACATATCAGATAGCAATGAGACCAGCTCAACTTGTGGAGCTTGGTGGGAGGGTGGGCCTGGGTCTGCGCCAGGAGTAAATATCACCCCATTTGAGGAAGCAGAAACGGTGTGACTTGCACATCAGCTCTAAGAACATTTTCTGCTCCAGGGCTGTGCTGAGGGCGTGGACCCACTGGGGCTGGATGCCAGGAGCTGGAGGCCTCTCCGGCTCTCCTTCCCAGGAGGGGAGATTTTAGTAGAGAGGGTGTGGGTGGGCCTTGGAAACCTCTTGTTGTGTGTGCGTGGGGTGCGGGGGAGTGTCAGAATGGCCCAGGGATATCTGGCCTTGGTAGGTGTACTCCCAGGCCTGGGGTGGCCTTCCTCATGGCAGAACCTGCCTTCACGGCTCCTCAAAGCTGCCATCCTTCACTCCAACTGAAGACACCCCTGACTGATTGCCTGCAATTATCCGAGGAGTGGGGGAAGGAGGGTTTTGGTAGTCTTGCAGCCAAATTAATCTTAATTCCCTTCAACTCGTGTGGAAAAGTACCCAACGAAATATGCAAATGCTGCATGTATTCCTTCAGTAAAGGGGAAGGAGGGTTGCAACATCAAACAATGATAGGGTGTCGCAATCCTAAACGTGTGAGGAATTACTCTTAAGGTCCTCGTACTTGACAGCTCCGGGCCCCCATGACACATGAGGAGTTTTGTGCTCCGAAACAGGCCAGGGCCAGGGTGTCTACCACGCTTACCACTAGCTGTGATTTGGGGGCCTCAAACACAGCCTGAGACCTGGCAAAACCATCTTAGGAACTGGGGATCACAGAGGACTCTGCAAACCTCCTTCTAAACTCATATTTCCAGTAATGGCAACAGGGTGGGCCCTTAATAGCTCCTGGAGCAGAAATTGAAGGTTGAGCTATCTTTAAAAAAAACATGGCAGGCGTGGTGGCTCATCCCAGCACTGTGGGAGGCTGAGGTGGGAGGATCACTTGAGGCCAGGAATTCAAGACCAACCTGGTCAACATAGTGAGACACCATCTCTTGAAAAAAAAAAAACAACATAGCTTATGAAGAGTCATGAAGGTGCTAATATTGGCTGTTCCTGGGTAGGAGGGAATGTGTTTTTATTTTCTTCTTTTTGCTTGTCTGTACTTTCTGATTGCCTTTTTTGGCAAGCACATATTGCTTTTGTAATAGGAAAAAAATATTTTCAAAACGTTCTCAGCAAAGTAGTATGTTTGTTTTTAAAATAGATGACAACATAATAAATGGGAAGTTTCCAACACCTCCTCACTTTTTAAAAAAAACTTTTCCCAAAAGAAATACATGCTCCTGGTAGAAACCTTTGAAAATTCAGATCATCAAAAAATAAAGAAAATAAAAATTGACTGTAATCCCATCACAGGAATAACCACTGTCAACATTTTTAATTCTACCTTTCCAATACACACACTAGTTTCATTTTTTATTTATTTTTTGGACAGAATATTGCTCTGTCACCCAGGCTGGAGTAGTGCAGTGGCACGGTCCTAGCTCACTGCAGCCTTCAACTCCTGGGCTCAAGTGACCCTCCTACTTCAGCCTCCTGAGTAGCTGAGACTAGAAGCACATGCCACCACTCTGGGCTAATTTTTTATTTTTTATAGAGATGGTGTGTGTGTGGGGGGTCTCACTATGTTGGCCAGGCTGGTGTCAAACTCCTGGCCGCAAGGATCCTCTCTGCATGTTAGTTTTCTACTTCAATTCACATACTGTAGTTTTTGCAAAAACAGGACCATGCTGTAATACTTGTAATTACAAGTATTGTCATTTTGCTTCTTCTACATGGTAGTTCATGGACATCAAATTTTTTTTACATGATCACTTTAATAGTCATGAGACTGGGCGTGGTGGGTCATGCCTATAATCCCAGCACTTTGGGAGGCCCAGGTGGGTGGATCATGAGGTCAGGAGTTCGCGACCAGCCTGGCCAACCGTGAAACCCTGTCTCTACTAAAAATACAAAAAATTAGCCCGGCGTGGTGGCACGCGCCTGTAAGCCTAGCTACTTGGGAGGCTGAGGCAGGAGAATTGCTTGAACCTGGGAGGCGGAGGTTGCAGTGAGCCAAGATCGTGTCATTGCACTCCAGCCTGGGCGACAGTGCGAGACTCTGTCTCAAAAAAAAAAAAAAAAAAAAAAAGGTTATATAGGTTTCTAGTTCTAAATGACCCACAATTTAACCAACCCTATATTGTTGAACCTTTGGGTTGTTTCCAAATTCTGTGCTATTGTAGAAATGCTGCAGGGACCTCTGTACACATCTAAGTTGACTTTTTCAGAAATGGGCCAAAGGGTGTGCACATTTTTAAGGCTTTCGAAATGTAGTCGTGCAGTTAGTACGCTGTCAAACAGGACAATGTGCAGTCCCTGTTATCACACAGGAGGGTAGTATTGGTTCAACCAGTTTCTAGCTGCGTAATCTTGAGAAAACTACTTACTGTCTCTACACTTCGATTTCCTCAAGTGTAAAACTGGAATGATAGTAGCTATTGGATAAGATTGCTGTGAGGGTTAAATGAAAAAAATGTGGAAAGTGATGCCGGGCCCAGCACATGGTGAGCTCTCAATGAATGCTGGTTGTGTCTGACTTAAAGATTATCTTCTTTTCAGGGGAAGATAGGCTTGGAGACTGACGTTCGATTTCCTGGAAAAGTTGGGAGCAGGTGGAGATGGTAAATGAGGCTGGGTGCAGTGGCTCATGCTGGTAATTCTAGTACTTTGGGAGACCGAGGCTGGTGGATCGCTTGAGTTTAGCAGTTCAAGACCAGCCTAGGCAACATGGTGAAACCCCATCTTTACAGAAAATACAAAAAAAATTAGCTCAGCATGGTGGCATGCACCTGTAGTCCCAGCTACTTGGGAGGATCAACTAAGCCTGGGAGTTTGAGGCTGCAGTGAGCCACAATCATGCCACTGTACTCCAACCTGGGGGCAACAGAGTGAAACCTTGCCTTAAAAAAAAAAAAAAAGGGTGAATGAGGAAGATGCTGGGGAGGGCAAGCGAGAAGAGGATAAGCAATAGAGGAGCTGATGGTGACGAGGTAAAGAAAGGATTAGTAGCGGGGAGAGCAGGGGAGGATAGGAAGAGAATGGGAACTGGAAGGACAGAGGTGAGATGTCCACATGGGCCATTTGGTGCAGGGCCCCCGGGAGGCAGAACCATGCAGTAGTCACTTTGGGAACTGGGGGGCTACCTCAATCAGGTCTGGGTGAGCCTGTGTCCTCTGGTCCCTGGCCCCATCGAGCTGCCCCTTCCTGCCCTCCTCTGTCTCAGCCTCATCTTGCATCACTCCATGCCTGTCTTCTCTCAGTTCCTTGAGTAAGCATGTTCCTCTCTGTTGCGTGACCTTTGTACATTCTGTCCCCTCCCCCGCCACCCCCCGCACAGGAACTCTACTCTTTCCTGGCTAACTCCCACACATCCTTCAGATCTCTAGCTTAAAGCTCACTTCCTGGTCAGGCCTGGTGGCTCATGCCTGTAATCCCAGCACTTTGGAGGCCGAGACAGGAGGGTCATTTGAGCTCAGGAGTTCAAGACCAGCCTGGGCAACACAGTGAGACCTCATCTCTACAAAAGATAAACAAAATTATCCAGGCGTGGTGGTGCATACCTGTGGTCCCAGCTAGCTGGGAGGCTGAGGTGGGAGGATCGCTTGAGGCTTGGAGGTGGAGGCTGCAATGAGTCATGATGGCACCACTTTACTCCAGCCTGGATGACAAAGTGACACCTCAACTCTGAAAACAAAACAAAACAAAAAGATGACTTCTTCTGAGGATTTCTCTGAACATTCCATATAAAGCAGCCCCTCATCCCCACTCCCTTTCCCTTTACTCTGTCATGGCCCTCTCTCTGAACCTGCAGAGCAAGGACAAGGTTTGTAGTTATGTGTGATTATGGGATTACACACACTTGGTGTCCCCACTAGGCTGAAAGCTCCATGAGGGCAGGAACAGGGTCTGATTTTTGCTCACAATTGTATCCCTGATGCCCAGCACACAGTAAGCAATCAATAAGCATTTATTGAAATGGAAAAAGCCTATGCCTTTTTTTTTTTTTTTTGAGACGGAGTCTTGCTTTGTCCCCCAGGCTGGAGTGCAGTGGTGCCATCTCGGCTCACTGCAACCTCCACTTCCCTGGTTCAAGTGATTCTCCTGCCTCAGCCTCCTGAGTAGCTGGTATTACAAGTGCGTGCTACCACATCTGGCTAATTTTTGTATTTTTCGTAGAGATGGGGTTTCACCATGTTGCCCAGGCTGGTCTCGAACTTCTGACCACAAGTGATCTGCCTGTCTCGGCCTCCCAAAGTGCTGAGATTACAGTCGTGAACCACTGCGCCCGGCCAAGCCTATGCATTTATGACCAATGAAATGCTTTTACACCCTCTCCTGTGGCTCCAATTCCATCTTGATTGATGTTGGTTGCTTGGTCGAAGGAACAGGACATTTGGGGGCTTCAAGGGAGGCCTTAGCCAGCTCCTTTCCTACCCTCTTTTCCTTTGAGGAAGAAGCTTCCCTTTCTATGACTAGACACTTTCAACCAGTACTTCTCAAATTTTAATGTGTCTATAAATTACCCCGGGGATCTTCTTTTTTTTATTTTTATTTTTTATTTTGAGACCAAGTCTCACTCTGTCGCCCAGGCTGGAGTGCAGTGGCGTGATCTCGGCTCACTGCCACCTCCGCCTCCCGGGTTCAAGCCATTCTCCTGCCTCAGCCTCCCAAGTATCTGGGAGTACAGGCACTCACCAGCACGTCCGGCTAATTTTTGTGTTTTTAGTAGAGACGAGGTTTCACCATGTTGGCCAGGCTGTGTGTCGAACTCCTGACCAGCAGGAATTCCTGATCCACCCGCCTTGGCCTCCCAAAGTGCTGGGATTACAGACCTGAGCCTCTGTGCCTGTCCTTCGACCGGGGATCTTCTTAACGTGCAAATTCTGAGGCAGATCTGGGGTAGGATCGAGATTCTGCGTCTCTAACAATCTCCCAGGTGAAGTCCATAATGCTAATTCCAGGACCAAGGCTTTCACATTTCGGCATCTGTGATCTACAGGCCACTGGGATTTCCACGCTTTAGGTTGAGTCGCTGCGCCCCCTCTTGACCACTAAAGGATATGACAATCTTCGACCGAGGGGATAAAGACACCGTGCATGAATTGTAAAACACATCACACTCTTGGGGAATAGGATCTTCTCTAAAAGCAAATGGGCATACGGATTCCGATAGCATTAGTACATTTATTCTTCATTTTAATTTAATTTTATTTTTTGTAGAGACAGGGTTTTGCCATGTTGCCCAGACTGGTCTCGAATTCCTGAGCTCAGGCCACCCACTCGCCTCTGCCTCCCAAAGTGCTGGGATTACAGGCATGAGCCACCGCGCCCGGCCTGCAGAGTGTATTCTTAAGAATAAATTGGGGTGGGTGTCGTGGCTTACGCCTATAATCCCAACACTTTGGGAGTCCGAGGCGGGCGGATCACGAGGTCAGGAGTTCAAGACCAGCCTGGCCAACATGGTGAAACCCTGTCTCTACTAAAAATACAAAAATTAACCGGGTGTAGTGGCGGGTGCCTGTAATTCCAGCTACTCGAGAGGCTGAGGCAGGAGAACCACTTGAACTTGGGAGTCGGAGGTTGCAGTGAGCCGAGATGGTGCCATTGCACTCCAGCCTGGGTGACGAAGCAACACTGTCTCAAAAAAGAAGAAGAAAAAAAAAAGAATAAATTTTCTGATCGGGCCTGGTGGCTGCGACTATAAGTGTGTGCCACCATGCCTGCCTAATTTTTGTATTTTTTTGTACAGACATGGTTTCGTACAAAACCTTGTCTCCAGCTCCTGGGCTAAACACTCTGCCTTCCTCGGCTTCCCAAAGTGCTGGGATTACAGGTGTGAGCCACTGTGACCAGGCCTCCTTTTTTTTTTTTCTTCCTATTTTTTATATATGGTGGTAAAATACACACAACATTTGCCATCTTAACCATTTTTAAGTGTCCAGGTCAGTGGTATTAAATACATTCACAATGTCGTGCAGCTGTCACCACCATCCCACCATCTGTCTGTCTCTAGAACTCTGTCTCCTAAAACTGAAACCCTGTACCCATTAAACAGTAATTTCTTATTCTTCCCTCTCCCCAGCCCCTGGCATCCACCATTTTACTTTCTGTTGCTATGATTTTAAGGGACTTTATATAAGTGGAATCATACAGTGGGTATCCTTTTCTGACTGGCTTGTATCACGTAGTATAATGGCCTCAAGCTTCATTCAGGCTGCAGTATGTGTTGGAATGTCTTTCCTTTTTAAGGCTGAATAATATTCCATTATACATATACACCACGTTTTGCTTATCCATTCATCATTGATGGACATTTGGGTTGCTTCTACATTTTAGCTATTATGAATAATGCTGCTATGAACATGGGTGTACAAATATCTCTTTGAGATCAGCTTTCAGTTTTTGGGGGTATATACGCAGGGTAGAATTTTGGGGTCATATGGTAATTTTATTTTTAATTTTAAAAGAAACCCCCACACTGTTTTCCACAGCAGCTGTGCCATTTTACATTCTCACCAACAGTGCATAGAGTTCCAATTTCTCTACATCCTTGACAAAGTTTGTAATTTTTTCTCTCTCTCTGTGTGTGTGTGTGTGTGTGTGTGTGTGTGTGTGTGTATTTTTTTTAGAGAGTCTTGCTCTGTTGCCCAGGCTGGAGTGCAGTGGTATGCTCATGGCTCACTGTAGCCTTGATCTCCTGGGCTCAAGCGATGCTCCCACTTCAGCCTCCCGAGTAGCTGGGACTATAGGCATGGACCACCACACCTGGCTAATTTTAATGTAATGTAATTTAATTTTTTTTTTTGTAGAGATGGGGTCTCACTATGTTGCTTTGGCTGGTCTCAAACTCCTGGGCTCAAGCAATCCTCTTGCCTCAGCCTTGCAAAGTGTTGGGATTACAGGCATGAGCTACTGCACCTAGCCTGTGTGTGTGAGTGTGGTGTTTTCGTTTTTTGTTTTTGAGACGGAGTTTTGCTCTCGTTGCCCAGGCTAGAGTGCAATGGCGTGATCTCAGCTCACTGCAACCTCTGCCTCCTGGGTTCAAGCAATTCTCCTGCCTCAGCCTCCTGAGTAGCTGGGATTGCAGGCATACACCACCACGCCCAGCTAATCTTGTATTTTTAGTAGAGATGGGGTTTCTCCATGTTGGTCAGGCTGGTCTCGAACTCCCAACCTCAGGTGATCCACCCACCTTGGCCTCCCAAAGTGCTGGGATTACAGGCGTGAGCCACTGTGCATGGTCTTGTGTGTTTTTTTTTAATAGTAGCCATCCTAATGGGTGTGAGGTGGTATCTCACTGTAGTTTTGATTTCCATTTCCCTAATGTCTAGTGATGTCGAACATCTTTTGTGCTTATTTATTAGCCATTTATATATCTTCTTTGGAGAAATGTCTATTCAAGTCCTTTGGCCATTTTTGAACTGGGTTGTTTGCTTTTTTGTTGTTGAGTTTTAGGAGTTCTTTATATATTCTGGATATTAATCCTTTATCAGCTATATGATTTGCAAATGTTTTATCTCATCTTGTGGGTTGCTTTTTCACTCTGTTGCTAGTGTCTTTTCTTGCACAAAATTTAAAAATTTTCATGAAGTCTAATTTGTCTATTTTTTCTTTTATTGCTTATGCAATAAAAGTGTCATATCCAGAAAAATCATTGCCAAATCTAATGTTGTGAAGCTTATCTCCTGTGTTTCCTTCGGTGAGTTTTACAGCTTTAGGCCTTACATTTGGGTCTTTGATGCATTTTGAGTTAATCTTTGCATATGGTGTTAGGCAAGTGTCCAACTTCATTTACACGTGGATATCCAGTTTTCCCAGCACCATTTGTTGAAAAGACTGTCCTTTCCCCATTGAATGGTCTTGGCACTTTTGTCAAAAATCACTTGATAATAGTCAAGTTAATTAATAATTATATTGATTAACAATTAATATAATTATAAAATTATATTTTATGACTACATTGGTATAAAGAAAAATATATTAATATTATATATTAAAACTTTTTTTCAGGCTGGGCATGGTGGCTCACGCCTATAATCCCAACACTTTGGGATGCCAAGGCGGGTGGATCACCTAAGGTCAGGAGTTTGAGACCAGACTGGCCAACATGGTGAAACCCTGTCTCTACTAAAAATACAAAAAATTAGCCGGGCGTGGTGGCGGGCGCCTATAATCCCAGCTCCTCAGAAGGCTGAGGCATGAGAATCGCTTGAACTTGGGAGGAGGAGGCTGCAGTGAGCCGAGGACATCACACCACTGCACTCCAGCCTGGGGGATAGAGGGAGACTCTTACTCCAAAACAAAACAAAAAAAATAAAACTTTTTTTCAATGTAAAAGTTAATTTTTTTCTTCTGATTTTCAAAAGAAATGAAAACATGTTTATGTATTCCTAAACATATCCTGGGTCTCGGGCATGATACCTCCTGTGTGAGCCCTGCTCTCCACACGGTGGCAGGGTTCTGTCTCTTTATGATGTGTGCAAGATGACACTAGATGCTATGAGGACCATCTGTTTTTTAAGCAGGTAACCACACTGAACATGTTAAACAATATGTATCATGTGCTGAGTGTTTACTGTGTGCCAAGTGCTTCAAACTCATCATTTAAGTTAAAGAACAGCCCTGTCAGATAGGAACTACTCTCTGCCCTCCATGGCCAGCATATACAAAGAGGTATATTTTTCCAAATGCTTCCATACATTGTTTCTAAATGTATATTACAGTCCATAGTATGAGGGACACCAGGGGACCCTCCAGTGGGCGCTACAAGATCTTAGGGAAGAGGGAAGCTGAGGGTGGGCTTTGGAGAAGAGTCATTACAGAGATGAAGTGGCAGGTGGCATGGAAAGGTATTTGGGAAGTGCGGAGGTGACAATAAGAACGGCACATTGGAGCGTCATGAGGAGACTTCCCAAGATGGAAGGGACTTGAGGTCTGGAACCGAGGGTGACCGGCAGGGTGGGTTTTGGAGAGTGAGAAACGTGGGCCCAATCTAATGTTCAGTGGAAGGTTCTTTGTCTCCCTAAGCCCTAAAATCCAGCGGTAAATCATCAATAACATAGCAAAGTTTTAGCCACCTTCCCTGTCTCAGTTCCTTCTTTGTTAAATGAGAGTCACGGTGCTTGCCCTGCAATCTCAGAGACTCAGTTCAAATGATTGTCAGCCCCACAGGTGGGGGAGCCGGTGTCTGATTCCGGCTGTATTGTCAGGGCCTCAGTGCTCAGTACAGGTTTGGTGGAGGAATGGACGCCATAGCCTACAATCCCAAAAGCTGCAGCCGCAGGAGGCAGCGTGGCTGGAGAAGGGTCCCGAGCCAGAAGAGGGCGCTCTTCAGCAAAACAAGGTTTGAAGGAAACCGCCAGGATGTTTCTGCAGGATGGCAGATGGAATTCACTTTAGGCTTTAGGATTTAGCAGGTCAAATCATTGCATTCTTATATCTAAACCTACCTCAGCCCTGGTTTCCTAACTAGAAAAAAGGACTAAAATGCAGTTTATTTCCTCTTTTTAAAAATTGTCCTCTTAATGCTTTAGGCACCTAAGAGAGATGCAATTATTTTTACTTTGGAGAGGCTTAAAAGAGCCACTGATTTCCTATAGCTCATGATTCTGCAGATCAGGGATGAAGGCAGGACTTGGCTGGGAATTTTTCTGCTGATTACAGCAATGACTGAGATCCTCCGTGGTATTCAGCGGCAGGATGAACTGGTCTGGGGGGTCTGAGATGGCTTCACTCACATGGCACAGAAGTAATTTTACATTTTGTGTGGTTATTTGACCATTGTCTGTCTCCCTTACTAGTCCAGAGGCTCCCAAAGGGTAGGGATTGTGTCTTTCTTGCCTATCATTTTATCCCTAGTGCCTAGCACAGTGCTGACCCATTAGAGTGTTTAATAAATATGTGTTAACTGACTCAATGATGTGATTCTTTATTTTTTATTTTTTATTTTTTTTTGAGATGGAGTTTTGCTCATGTTGCCCAGGCTGGAGTGCAATGGCACAATCTTGGCTCCCTGCAACCTCCACCTCCTGGGTTCAAGCAATTCTCCTCCCTCAGCCTCTTGAGTAGCTGGGATTACAGGCATGCGCCATCATGCCTGGATAATTTTGTATTTTTAGTAGAGACGGGGTTTCTGCATGTTGGTCAGGCTGGTCTTGAACTCCCAACCTCAGGTAATCTGCCTGCCTTGGCCTCCCAAAATGCTGGGATTACAGACATGAGCTACTGTGCCCGGCAATGATGCGATCTCTCTCTTTCTTTCTCCTTTCCTTTCCTTTCTTTTCCTTTCTTTTCTTTTCCTTCTTTCCTTCTTTCTTTCTTTTTCTTTTTTCAGAGTTTTGCTCTTTTGCCCAGGCTGGAGTGAAGTGGTACGATCTCAGCTCACTGCAACCTCTGCCCCCTGGGGTTCAAGTGATTCTTCTGCCTCAGCCTCCCAAGTAGCTGGGATTATCGGTGCCCACCACCACACCCGGCTAATTTTTGTATTTTTAGTAGAGATGGGATTTTGTCATGTTGGCCAGGCTGGTCTTGAACTCCTGACCTCAGGTGATCCACCCGCCTTGGCCTCCCAAAGTGCTGGGATTAGAGACATGAGCCACCGCACCCGGCCTATGATGCAGTTCTTATGAAAAGTGTCGGGATCATCAGAAAAAAGGCATAGGTGGGAGTTGCTGATGATAGTAGCTCAGTAAGTATGCAAATTGAGCTAAGCCCTTTATAACCTGGCTGTTGGTATTATTTATCCCCATTTTACAGATGAGGAGCTGAGGCTGCTGTTACACAGCTTCAAAGGTTGATGCACAAGAAACATCTTTTTTTTTTTTTTTTTTTTTTTTTTGAGAGACAGAGTCTTGCTCTGTCATCCAGGCTGGAGTGCTGGAATGCAGTGGCATGAGCCTCTGCCTCCCGAGTTCAAGCAATTCTCCTTCCTTAGCCTACTGAGTAGCTAGGACTACAGGTGCACGCCGCCACGCCCAGCTAATTTCTTTTGTATTTTAGTAGACATGGGGTTTCACCATGTTGCCCAGGCTGGTCTTGAATTCCTGAGCTCAGGCAATCCGCCTGCCTCGGCCTCCCAAAGTGCTAGGATTACAGGCGTGAGCCACCGCGCCAGGCCAGAAACATCTTTTTTGTATCTCAAAGCAGATGGCTGGGTGCGGTGGCTCATGCCTGTAATCCCAACTCTGGGAGGCCGAGGTGGGCGGATCCATTGAGGCCAGGAGTTTGAGACCAGCCTGGCCAACATCTCTACCAGAAATACAAAAATTAGCTGGGCGTGGTGGCGGGTGCCTGTAATCCCAGCTACTTGGGAGGCTGAGGGAGAAGGCGGAGGTTGCAGCGGGCCGAGATCGCGTCACTGCACTCCAGCCTGGGCGACAGAGTGAAACAAAACAAAACAAAAATTTTAAGCACAGCAATAACTTGCTTGTTCCCTGATAGTCCTGGGAGTAAATTCAGGATTATCGAGGACCAAGCAAATTATTAAAATTGATTATTTGGGAGATAAAAACCCGATGAAATAGCAAAAGGGTAGACGCCATGTTTTCAAATTAGTCACAAATATTCTGGATTCTTGCTTCTACAGTTATCCGAATAAAAGCAGCAAAACCACCCCAAAATTTGAGGTGAACATTACTTGGATGTCTGTCACCACATTCACCTAAAGCTGTTCCTTAACATCCACATACTTGTTTGTTTTTCTTCCTGGATTTATTTATTTTTGATGTTTCTACACACCTGGACTGCTCTCTGACATGGTATGCTTCTTTCGTTTTATCAAGTAACAGGCTGGCCTTTAGTCACAAGTGTGGCATTCGGGAAGCCAACATGGTTTAGTGATAGGGTTCTTGTTGGGTGTGCAGATTGGGGCATTTCACAGATTATCTGATGCTCAGTCTCTCTATGGGCTCTGCCTTGCCTAAAGGGCAAGTGTGTGTTCATCAAACAGGGCTTCTTTAGGCCTTGTTACTGTGATGGGGGAAATACTCCAAAGTGCCAGGAAACCCTGCCCGGGCAGGGAGCAGGACTTCTCAGTATCCCAGGGATTCGGATCTCAGCCCCCTGCAGCCAATCAGCAAAGGAGCTGTTTCAAACTGACAAGCAAAACAAAGCCCAACAAAAGCAGCTGGAGCCCAAACAAACAGAGTTGGGTGAGGTTGGGAAGGGGAGTCAGGTCTGGCGTCATCCGGCTCCAGGCCAGGCTGTTGCCATGGTGACAGCCAGTCCGTTTACCAGCGGGCAGCAGAGCCAGCTTTCTGAGGGGGAAGCCCAAGGAGGGGAGGAGGAGCAGGGGTGCCCCAGGGGAGCCTGCGCTTCTCCAAGTTACAGAAATCCATAGAGAAGGCTCGGCCACTTCCAGGGAGCAGTGCCTTCTCTCAGGAGCTGGGCAGGCAGCCCGGGGGGCAGTGGGCTGGGAGAAGCCGGCCTGAGAGGGACGGAAGTGTCCACTGAACAGGCAAAGAGGCCTCTGGGAAGGCTAGAAGGCTTTCTGGGCAGAACGGATTTGCAGCTGTGTTGGCTTTCTGGGCAAAAGATGAATTGAAGTAAATCACAGAGTGTTTTAAAATAAAAAACTCCCCCAAACCACACACACACACACACACACACACACACACACACACACACGCCAATGGAGGAGAGAGAGGGCTTTGGGAACCTCAGCGGTGGAACACGGAAATACCTTATATTCTTCTCCAGGAGCATTTTTTTTTCTACTCTGATAATGACAACTCAAGTAATTACCTGCAAGACAAGAAGAATGAACAACAGTCAATGCAAAATGTTAGAAAACATCTGCTTTGCAGGGCTTGTCTATCAAAGCCCGACTCTGTGCCTGAATGGTGTTCAGGTCCCTGAAGGTGGGCCGCTTTAGGATATAGACACTCTTTCTGGCCAACGGGCAATATGAGCCAAAACAAATGCAGTGGAAGAAAGAATCTTGGCATCTTCCTCCAGAAATCTTGCTGCAAAAGTGTCTATCACACAGAAGGAAAAATAGCTTATGATTCTACTCATGTGAGCTTCCTAGAGTAGTCAAATTCAAACAGACAGAAAGTAGAGGGGTGATTGCCAGAGGCCGAGGGGAGGGGAAAATGGGGAGTGAGTATTTAATGAGTATGAAGTTTCAATTTGGGAAGATGAAACATTCTGGAGATGATGGTGATGAGAGTTGCACAACAATGCGAATGTACTTAATGCCACTCAACTGTAGACTTTAAAAGTTTCAAACAGTAAACTTTGTTATGTATATTTTACCATAATAAAAATAAATGTGTCTGTCAGTAAAGACTGTCTTCTTGCTGCAGCAGGAAATGGTGTTGGCTTGAAGGCCAGCATCGAGGGCACGTGGGTTCACCTCTTTGAACCTCAGCTGTATCATCCATCAAATGGAACTTACACTATCTTCCTTACTGCCAACTGTGAAGAGTGGATATGAATGCATTTAGTGAACAGAAATGCACCATAAGAATGTAATTTTTTTTTTTTAATTTGAGATGGGGCCTCCCAAAATGTTGGGATTATAGGCATGAGCCACTGAGCCTGGCCAAGAATATAAAATGTGATTAAAGTATTATTTCAAAATTCATTGTTATGGTACCCAAATGCCAAGAGGCAAAAGGAAAGGAGAAAGGGAGAGTTTTGGAGGAAACTAAGGAAAGGGTTATTTATATCTGGCATTTCTAGGAATTGGAAAATACCCAAATACCGTAGGAGAGTTGGAGAGAATTTTGGGCTCGTGCTCAGGGGCCTGAAGGTAAGACCAACTTGGACTATCATGGCAATTTAAAATACTTCTCCCTTTTGCTCTGCCTAAATTGAGAAACAGGTTAAGCCCACCCATCAAGAGGAAATGAAACAAAATGAAATAATGTCAAAACATCACCTCTCAAATTTCATGAAGGGAAATGGTACAGTTACAACACAATGCTGGGTGGAAGCTTATGGGACCTGGAGCCTCCAGGCATGGGTAGAACCCAGGTTCATCACCAGAGAGTCCCATTAACTGTCAATGATTTATTCAATGCATTTCTTTTTTCTATTTAAAGAAATAAGCCATTGGCCGGGTGCAGTGGCTCACGCCTGTAATCCCAGCACCTTGGGAGGCTGAGGCAAGCAGGTCACTTGAGGCCAGGAGTTCGAGACCAGCCTGGCCAACACGGTGAAACCCTGTCTCTACTGAAAATACAAAAATTAGCTGGGTGTGGTGGTGGATGCCTGTAATCCCAGCTACTCGGGTGGCTGAGGCAGGAGAATCACTTGAACCTGGGAGGCGGAGGTTGCAGTGAGCTGAGATCACACCACTGCACTCCAGCCTGGGCAACAGAGTGAGACTCCGACTCAAATAAAATAAAATAAAGAAATAAGCCATTCATCACTACCATCACTTTTATCATTACAAAATGTTTTATTAGCATATATTAGCATGTGGCAAGCACCAATTTAAATGTGGTACACACCTTATCTTTTCATTCCTTGCAAGGTGCAGCTTTTTTATAGATAACAATATGAGACTCACGATTACTGATTTGGTCTTTCTGGTTCTTTGTTTCCTGATTGATAAAATGAGAATAATGTTATAGCTAGAGAAGTTTAGCAGCTTGCCTCAAGTCACAAAGCTGGTAAGTAGTAATGTCAGGATTTCAACCCAAGTTCATCTGACTCCAAAGTTCCACCTTTGAATGCTATACTGCATTGGAGGAAACATTATTGCTAAGAAGCTTATGAAAGAAAATTGCTAATGAATATTATGCTCTGAGAGCAATTAGAATGTGCAATTGGTAAATCGCCTTATCATGGCATTGCATGATGTCACAATGACATGCAATGGGGAAGAACAATGAGCATCATGGGTGTGTATTAGCAGAGATTTGGCTTTAAAATGGAATGAAACCACAAAGTACACAAAGAACAGAGTATGAGGCTGGGCGCAGTGGCTCATGCCTGTAATCCCAGCATTTTGGGAGGCGGAGGCAGGTGGATCACTTGAGGTCGGGAGTTCAAGACCAGCCTGGCCAACATGGTGAAACCCCGTTTCTACTTAATATACAAAAATTAGCCGGGCATGGTGGTGCACACCTGTAGTCCCAGCTCTTCAGGAGGCTGAGGCAGGAGAATCGCTTGAACTCAGGAGGTGGAGGTAGAGGTTGCAGTGAGCCGAGATCACGCCACTGCACTCTAGCCTGAGCGACAGCACGAGACTCCTTCTCAAAAAAAAAGAAAAAAAGGACAACTTATGAAACAAGGCTTTGCTGCTTTATGTATGTGTACTGTGTATGTTTTGTTGAGTACGTGCTGTATGCTGCACGTGTTGCATGTGTATGTGTGTAACGTGGGTGTTGTGTGTGTGTGGTTGCATAAGTGAAGGAGAGTTGCATGATGAGTGATTTCTTCAATACTGAAGGCCGTACAGTCCCACAGCCAACACATAGTGCTTCCTGTGAGCCAGGCATTCCACCCAGTGTTTTACATATAATCCCTCACTCATCTTCACAACAACTTTGTGCGGTAGCTAGTAACAGTATTCTCATTTAGTGGACGAGGAAATGGAGGCTCAGAAGGATCAAGCATCTTGCCCTAGATCACCTAGATGGTACAAGGGAGAGCTGGGATTTGAACCCAGGCAGACTGGCTTCAAATTCTGTGTTTTGGTCTTTTCTTCATTTGTGTCCCTCTCGCCTTGTGAGAAATGATAGAATTATTCTCATTACATGATGGGAGAACCTGGGAACAATGTGAACATGTGTTGGCTCAGACAACAGTCTCAACTACACACTGGGGAAACGTGGGGAGGCAAACTCGTTTCACTGATTTGTCTCCTCTAAAACTTCTCCCTTTGCTGAATCCCACTTTTTTTCCCCTCTCTTTCTACAGGTGTTGATCCCAACTGTACAACCTGAATGCTGTTCTCAGAGTCACTTCCTGGTAACCCAAACTATGACCCAATAAATATTAGCTACTATCATCATCATCAATAATAATAATTATCATCATCCAAAAGCATTCTAAATAATAGAGAAAATAAGAGAAAGGGGGCAAAGGGGAGAGGTTTCCCTACTAACCAGGAGGGGTGATGATGTAGGGCAATACAGAAAGTCTAGAACAAGAACATGTCTCTGTTTTTTTTTGAGACAGGATCTCGCTTTGTCTCCCAGGCTGGAATGCAGTGGCACAGTCATGGCTCACTGCAGCCTCGACCACCTGGGCTTAAGTGATCCTCCTGCTTCAGCCTCCTGAGTAGCTAGGACTACAGGCATGCACCACCACACCTGAATAATTTTTTTAAAAAAATTTTTAGTAGAGACGAGGTCTCCTTATGTTGCACAGTCTGGTCTCTAACTCCTGAGTTCAAGGAATCCTCCCGCCTTGGCCTCCCAAAGTACTGGGATTACAGGCATGAGCCACTGCACCCAGCCCCCTGTGCCTTTTGAGGAGTGGGAAGAGTTATTAAATAGAGCAGAGGACTCCTTCTCAAATCCCTGTCTCTAGTGACTTCTGTATGGGTTGGAACTGATGGTTGTATCATTCTCTCCCTCCACTATTAAGGGTATAATACATGGTTACACTTTTATCTTGCTATTCAATTTCCTGCTGTGGCTATTCTGGGAATTTGGCCAGCACCTTTCACATATAAAAGCTCAGCTTTAGTGCTGTGAGGAGTTGGTTGGGCAGAAAGCGACAGAGGCTCCTGGTTTTATAGTCATGTGGGGACAAGATTTAGCTTTCCCAAATCTGGGGAGACGTCAACCCTGGTGTTCACAATATGAACCTAGACCCTGGCGAATCCAACCAGGACTTAGCACAGACCTTGTTCAGAGCTTTGCTACAGGAGGAAGTCTGCTTCTGCCCTCCGGCTTTTTAAGCCAAAGGATGGTGATGCAGGAAAGCAGCCTGGCTGTGCTCTTTCTTTGGTGCTGGTGGATTTCAACTGAACCCCACAAGTGTCACTGGAGGGCCCACCATGGACAAACTGTGTGTGTGTGTGTGTGTGTGTGTGTGTGTGAGAGAGAGAGAGAGAGAGAGAGAGAGAGCATAAAATACAGAGATAAAAATGACAGGATCGCTACCCCTGCCATGTTCATAAACAGCAGGCTGCGTGGCACAATGGAGCATGCATGAGAGTTGGAGGCAGACAGACCAGTGCCCCAGTCCTCGGCTGAATCATAGTTCTGCTACTGAAGAATGTGGTTTTATATTAGGGGTGATGCGAAGAACTGTAGGGACCTATGGGTAGGAGATGATAATTCTGGAAAAGAGGAGTGCCTTGTGTTTGCTGCATTCTTGAAGAATTTTTTATATTTGCTTCTGCTCCAGAAAATGAGAAAAATTAAGTACAGAGGCAAGTAACTTATGAGATAGACACAGAATAAGAGGAATTTCTGGGTTGAGTATAGATAAAATGATAAAAGAAATGGGAATGTTAGTTATAGACAGAGGAATAAAAAGACCAAGTAGGCTGGGCACAGTGGCTCACGCCTGTAATCAAACACTTTTGGAGGCCAAGGTGGGTGGGTCACACGAGGCCAGGAGTTTGAGACCAGCCTAGCCAGCAAGACGAAACCCCGTCTCTACTAAAAATACAAAAATTAGCCAGACGTGGTGGCACATGCCTGTAATCCCAGCTACTCGGGAGGCTGAGGCAGGAGGATAACTTGAACCCAGGACATGGAGGTTGCAGTGAGCCGAGATTGTGCCATTGTACTTCGGCCTGGGTGACAGAGCAAGACTGTTTCAAAGAAAAAAAAAAAAAGACCAAGTAAACCCTAAATATTTATAAGGCATAGATCATGTCTTCTCTAGATCAAAGCAATGTCATTTCTAAATTGGCCACCCAGTGGTGACACTCTTAAAGTCCCAGAAACAGGTAAGACCCACGGGTGCTCAGCAGGTTAATTGGGGTGTGGCGGTGTGACCAGGTGTACCTGCCCCCGACTTCCCAGTAGAGCCAGTTTGTATGCTGACTACATACACCTCTGTCCAGCAATTCCCTTTGCATGCCCTCAGTCTCTACCTTTGTAACCACACTGTCAGGTGGGAAGGCTGATGTGGCAGAGGGAGAATCAGACAGGAGAATGTTACGTAACCAAGGATTCAGGGAGGTGATCGTTTCACCTGCTTGCACCTATCCTAGGTGTGTTCACCTGTTCTATCTCTTTGCCCTTGCTTCTTGCTGTGTGTTTATTTATTTATTTATTTATTTATTTATTTATTTATTTATTTTTGAGATGGAGTCTTGCTCTGTTGCCCAGGCTGGAGTGCAGTGGCACGATCTCGGCTCACTGCAAGCTCCGCCTCCCAGGTTCACACCATTCTCCTGCCTCAGCCTCCCGAGTAGCTGAGACTACAGGCGCCCACCACCATGCCTGGCTAATTTTTGTTGTTTTTGTTGTATTTTTAGTACAGATGGGGTTTCACTGTGTCAGCCAGGATGGTCCTGACCTCAGGATCCACCCGTCTCGGACTCCCAAAGTGCTGGGATTACAGGTGTGAGCCACCGCGCCCAGCCTCTGTGTGTTTAAAATGGATTAAATAAGTACCTTAATTTGGTCTTCAAGCCTTCTGTGATCTCTGGGGTAGCCTGCCTGGAAGAGTAGTTGGAGGCTACTACCATTGCCTCAAGGTAATCTTCCAAGGGACAGGGGAGTCTTAGATCAGGCTTCCCGGGAGCAAAGCCAGAGATAGGGATCCTTGTGCCAGTAGTTGATAAGGAAGCTCTCTCTGGAGAAGGTGGTCTGGAGGAAGTGGGTAAAACGAGATAGGATAGGGGAAGAAGTAAAGTAAGGATGAGGCTCAGCTGCAGAATAATCTCAGCCTGGCTCCACCTGGGAGCCCTAGGGGTGTGGAAGGCACTATGGATTGGGGCTTCCTTGAGGCAAGAGGGCCAGCCTTTGTACCTTGTTTTAGGATATGGTAAAGGGGGTCTTGGTGGGACACCAGCAGCATCCCTGACAGGGGATTGGCCTGAACTCCCCTCCCAGGTGAGTAACAGGGGCAAGGGAGAGAAGCAAGAACATGGCTGGGAAAGTGGTGACATTAAGGACTGGAAAGGCAAGGTGCGATATAGTCTGGAGGTGTCTGAAAGTGAGAGAAAGACCCATGAAAGCCAAGTGCAAACTGAGAATAAATTTGCCACACTGATGGTATCAGTGTGGTATCAGTGTGGCTGATGGTATCAGCCTAGGACCAGGCTAGGCCACACTGCAGTAACAAATGAGCCACCAAGTCCATTTCTTGCTCACACTATCTATATGTCCATTGCAGACCAGCAGGGGCCTTTATGCAGTATTGGCAATCAGGGATCTAGGCTGATGGAAGCTCTCACTTGACATGAGCTTCCGCTATTGCAGAGGTGGGGAAGAGGACACTGGCTCTGGAAGCACGCATTTTTTTTTTTTTTTTGAAATGACATGGGTGTCACTGCTGTTCAGATTTCATTGGCCAATTCCAAGGCCAGGAAGCCATAGGGAGCCACGGTGTGTTCTTGAGCATGTGTGGGATTTGGAGCAGTGTGTAGGAAGAGTCAGATGACCATGGCATGTGCTGGGAGGAGCTGCTGGCAAGGAGAATAGCTGGGACCGGTCTGTGCAGTAATACACTTGAAGCATCTTTCCCCTCTGAGACCTTTGGGCAACTCTGGTAAGAAGGCTACTTATCAGGGTCTAGTTTTTGCAGCCATCAGCCTCGTTCTGCAGGAAGAGGAACCAGTTCTATGTCCTCAGGAGGGAAGCCTCACCAAGCCAGGACCAGGAGTTGGAAGAGTGGGGAGGGCTGCATTGCTGAAGGCCCTCCCTCAGTGAACACCTCATAAAAAGTTCTGCAGCTGATCTAGGCAGGCTGCAGAGGGCTGAATACTGCCAGAATTGTGCACACTGAGCTGGCTCCACAGGCAGGGTTACCTGATCTCTAAGTCATGCTGGACTTTGAAGCCTCAGGCTTTTATTGGAGGTGCTATGACCACCTGGTCAGCTACAGGCTGAAGATTCCTGGCATCAGAAAAAGCCAGTCTCCAGTCAATGCTCCTTCCTCAGTGTGGAGGTTTGATTGTCCATCAAAACCTCAAGGGCAGTGGTTCTTTAACTTCAGCATGCAAAAGACTGCCTGGAGTGCTTTCTAAAAGTGCAGACTTCTGGGACCCATCACCCTGGGGTGGGCGTGGGGGTGGGGGAGTTTGCATTTTAAATAAGCACACAGGTAACTGGGAACAGGTGGTCCAAGGATCATGCTTGGGGATAGAGAAGGTTCATCACTTACTTATTCAAATGTAACAGCCCTATGAAGTAGGCAATGTTATTTTCATTGTCATTCTCAATTTGCAGATAGATAAAATTAGGTTTAAGGAGATTAACTAAACTGCCCAAGGTCAGAGAGTTAGTAAATAACAGAACTGGATTTCTAACCCACTGAATTACAGCCTGTGCTGCTATCTAAGATCTGGAGAAAGCAGTAGGGAAACTGGTGGGCTGCGTGTATGTGTGGGCTTACTGCCTGACATTCCCCAATATGAGCCTCTATTTTAGCCATGCTAATGATATCAGTTAGGACCAGGCTAGGCTATGCTGCAGTAACAAATGAGCCACCAAGTTCGTTTCTTGCTCACACTATATGTCCATTGCAGACCAGCAGGGGTCTTTATGCAGTATTGGCAATCAGGGATCTAGGCTGATGGAAGCTCTCTCTTGACATGAGCTTTCACTATTGCAGAGGTGGGGAAGAGGACACTGGCTCTTGAAGCATGCAATTTTTTCTGGAAATGACATGAGTGTCACTGCTGTTCAAATTTCACTGGCCAAGTAAGTTCCATGGCCATGACTGAGTTAGTCAAGGTGTAGAAATGTAAACTTTTTAAACTTTATTATTTATTTTTATTTTTGAGACAGAGTCTTGCTCTGTCATCCAGACTGGAGTGCAGTGGCACGATCTCAGCTCATTGCAACCTCTGCCTCCCGGGCTCAAGCAATTCTCCTGCCTCAGCCTCCTGGGTAGCTGGGGTTATAGGCACCTGCCACCATGCCCAGCTAATTTTTTGTATTTTTAGTAGAGACAGGGTTTCACCTTGTTGGCTAAGCTGGTCTCAAACTCCTGACCTCAAGTGATCTGCCCGCCTTGGCCTCCCAAAGTGCTGGGATTACAGGCGTGAGCCACTGCGCCTAGCCAGAATGTAAACATTAATATAGTTCCCCATACCAACCAACTCATAAGACCCTAAATGTATCTCATTCTCTCGTCTTTGCACATGCTATCCCATCTCTCTCAAATGTCCTGTCACTGCTTCTCAGCTAGGCTAGCTCGACTGAGCATCATATTCTACATCACCTGCCATCAGCGCTGGGCAGCCTTTCCAAACCCACCCAGGCTGGATTAGATGCCCCTTCCTCCATCCCCCCAGAGGATCCTGGGCTTATTTCTACTACAGCATGTGTCATGTTGCATTGCAACTTTTAATTTCCTTGTCTGTCCCCCAAGCTCACTGGACTATGGGCTTCTGGGGATGGGAATACAGAGTGTCAGGCCTTGTACCTCTAGCCCCTGGAAGGCAGGAGATTTACACGAGCCTAGGAGCAGAATGGCAGAGTCCCTAATAGCTGGATTCTGGACCTTGCAGGAGCTGTTCTCCTTTTCCTACCGGGGCAGGATGTCTAGGGGCTTTAGAAAATGGGGAAGAGGAAGGTGAGGATATTCTGTGGCTTTAGGATGAGCCAACTGCAGACGGAGGAAGAAAACTCCCCGTTACAGAAGGAGTGGAATTTTTCCAAGGCTTCATTGCTCCACCATGGAAAGACTTGTCCAAACCCTAGTTAGTCACTGCCCGGAGCCAGCTGTGTCACCGTGGGGTGAACTTCAAGGGTCCAAGGAGAGGACATGCCGCAGCTGGGGGAAAATCTTGGCTGTCCTCAATTGGGAGCCCCTGATACCCATTTAAGGTAATTGTTGGCAAAGGAGCAGGTGTTCATGGCCTCCTCAGAGGCAGCCTTGCTTGAGTCCTGTCATGCCACAGCCTCTGTGTCCTTGGGAAGACTGTTTGGGGTCAAGAACGGGGGATCAAGATCTGTTCAGCAGGGGCATCTGACTCCGATGTGGGGATTAGTTGCTGGGTACCCACACCTGGGGTAACCACAGAGGAGAGGCAAAGAAGCCCAGAACCGTGCTTGGGACAGAAGTATGTGGGGCCTTGATCTGCACAGGGCAGGACCTGTCACTGTCCAACTGGCTTCTGGAGGCTCCGTCTGTCCCCCACTCCCCACCTCACACCTGGGGCTTGGGATTGAATCATTTTTAGCTCTCAGGGTACAGCATGCTCTCTCACTTTTGGGCCTGTGTGTGCAGCAGCTCCAACACAACCCTTGGCCCTTTTGCTGCATTTTTTTGCAAAAAATTTAACTCTTCAAGTGATTTCCTCTTTGTGGTGCAGCTTTTCCCAAAGTTTGAGGGAGGAGCTGTTTCAGGCCGGGGTTCCACTGTGCAGTGCCTAGCACTCAGCTCTCTCTTTCCTTTCCCTCCTCCGCTTTCCCCACCCGGATTCCCTGGAGAGCTCTCCATCCTCCTCCCTCCCTCAAGTAATGGAAGTTATTGTACTATGCACAGTAATTTCCCCCTTCTTGTAAAGCCTCAGGGCCACCAGACACCCTGGACCTAGCAGTTCAGCATTTGCCCAAATTCAAGGCCTTTTCTTGAAAAAGAACCTACTCTCTCTATCTCAGCTGCTGAGATAACATATTCTCTTTTTAAATTTTTATTTATTATTATTATTATTATTTTTTGAGATGGAATTTCACTCTTGTCCAGGCTGGAGTGCAGTGGCGAGATCTCAGGTCACCACAGCCTGCACCTTCTGGGTTCAAGCGATTCTCCTGCCTCAGCCTCCCAAGTAGCTGGGATTATAGACATGCGCCACCACACATGGCTAATTTTGTATTTTTAGTAGAGATGGGTTTCACCATGTTGGTTAGGCTGGTCTCGAACTCCTGACCTCAGGGGATACACCTACCTCAACCTCCCAAAGTGTTGGGATTACAGGCGTGAGCCACCGCACCTGGCCCAGAGATAACATGTTCTCTACTGCATTATATGATGTTTCCTTTGCCTGGACATCTGGTCCCATTTGGCCTGGCCCTTTGGTCTCAGCTGCCCTGACCCCTCTAAAGTTTACTGCATTATATGATGTTTCCTTTGCCTGGACATCTGGTCCCATAAGCCCTGCCCCTTTGATTTCAGCTGCCCTGACCCCCTAGTGTTTAGGTTAGTGTCTCACTACTGTGCCCCAGAGCCCTCACCAATGTACCTCTCAAGAAATGATAGTTAAATTTTCAAGAATTTTGCAAGCTGGTTGTTAAATTCAGCCATTATTAAACTTTCAGCTATGGTAACAAATACTTAAAGCTCATCACTTCCTAATTATTTTACTGTATTTTCCTATCACTTACACTGTTGAGATCATTTACAGCTCTTGTATCCACGTGGCGGAAGCACTATATAACTTGTAGGATACTGTGGATCTCTTCCCAAATCTGTGTTCAGTGGTAGCTTTTGGGACTATTTACACCATGAAGACTGGCAAATGCTATAAATCAGAGATCGATTTGTTGTTGCATTGATTATCTAAACTTAAAGAAGTAGTGGAGAAAATGTTAATGATGCAGGTTAAACTTACAAGTAGCTGTTACATTGTGAATAGCATGAAACAATCGAGGAAATATTCTTTCGGTTTCCAAAAACTATTATCCAATTCAGCAAAGAAGCACTGACAAATAAGCAAAGTTCTGACATTCACTTAAATTTTGCTTTTGTCTTATTAACATAAATAATATCAACCAAGATCCCATTAGAACAATACCTGCTCATCAATTATAACGATAGCTTGTCCACAGACCAGATGTTTGGCAAAAATTACGTACTGTGAAAGTCAATTGATTATGTGGAATTTACAGTAAACACTGTTGTATATTTTGTGATCATTTATAAATTATATGCTATAATCCTTTAGGTCAGTAAAATCCATGAGCGTATGGACATACACAGGTATGTTGCTGGAGAGCTGGTTGTTAAACATTTACTAGCACACCACTGCCCAGAGTCTACCGTTCTGTTTCCATCATGGAGCTTACCTACTGTGCTCTAATGGCCTGTTTGCTTGCCTGTGTTCCCCTCAGGGCTGTTGCTCTCTGTGGGGAGGGTCATTTGCAGCTCATCTTGTTCACCTGTGGATCCCCCAATCACTAGCATAGGGCCCAGTGCTCAGGAATTACTCAGTAAATCCTTGTTGCATGGATATGCTAATACAAAATCCTCCAGGTCCAATGGGAAGGCCCCAATTCCTGCCCTTTGTCAGTCTGTGAAGCAGAGATGGCCACTGAACCCTGGGGTCCTATGTGATTGGCCCTAAAACGGGCAGCCAGTACAGGCTTTTCCTTATTTCTGCTCTTCTCTCTAGACCCAGGGAATGCCCCAGTGCTGAATGGGGCCCCCCAGCTGCACTGTCCCACCTGCAGCCAGAGAGCTGTGAGCCACTGGGAGTGTGAGAATTTAGGATGCTGAGTACACACAGGTAGTACAGGTAGGTGGGTGAGAATGGGATACAGCCAGGCACAGGGTCAGGCTGCACACCCCTTGAGGGCAGGGGCAGATCTCATTACTGTCTATCTGCAGAACCTGTCTTGACTGTGGCCAACACAGCCCTGCAAGACCAGGTCCCCTTCCTTATCTGCTCCCCTCTTCTGACCTCACCTTCTCTCCCACCCCTCCCTGCTCCAGCTGTCCTGGCTCATGGCTGTTCCTGCAGCAGGTCATACATCCTCCCCTCAGGGCTTCTGCACCTACTGTTCCTGTGCCTAGGCCGCTCTTCCCCAGAAATCTACATGGCCTGCTGTTGAAGTCAGGTCCCTGTCCAAATCCCACCTGCTCGGCAAGGCCATCACTATCCAGCCCGCCCTGCCTTCCTCATCCCGGTTAATATTTCCTTACAGCACTTTTCACCCTCTGTGGGATCAGGCGCTTGTTTAGTTTCTGTCTTTTCCCATGAAATTGTAAATTCAGTCAGAGCAGCGATTCTTTCTGTTCTGTTCCTCACTCTATCCCCAGGGTCTGGAACAATTTAAGTGGATGTATAGTCATCGCTTAATGAGTGTCTGCTTACTCACAGCCTAAGAGAAGAAAGGATGTGTTGTCAGAGAAACTCGGTACCAAATACAGCTCTCTGGTTTCCTAAATCTAATCTGATTCCAGTCTGTGTTCTTCCCTGGTTGGTAACCTGAAATCCTGTATAGCTTTTCTTATTTCTCTGGAGTTAGCTCCCCAGCCCATTGGGAAGTGTCACCTCTACTCCATGGGAGCCCGAAACTCCAGAACCATGGCCAGGCAGCACATGCAAGTAGCTCCACCAGGCAAGCCAGCAATCCAGGCAGCCTCTGAGGCTGAGGACACACATTGACTGGGCACGCTTGGCCTGGAGAGGTGTTCTCTCTGACCTGCAGATGCTTTTATTTTATTAGGTTAGTTATTATATCAACCTAATATTTTATTAGGTTAGTTATTATACCAACCTAATAAAATAAAGGCATCTGTAGGTCAGAGAGAACACCTCTCCAATTATTTTAATAGCAAAAACCACAATTACTTTTGTACCAATCTAATATTTTATTTATTTATTATTTTTTTGAGTAAGGGTCTCACTCTGTCATTCAGGCTGGAGTGCAGTGGCATGATTTCAGCTCACTGCAACCTCCACCTCCCAGGTTCAAGCGATTCTCCCACCTTAGCCTCCCAAGTAGCTGGGATTATAGGTGCACACCACCACACCTGGCTAAATTTTGTATTGTTTGGTAGAGATGGGGTATCACCATGTTGGCCAGGCTGGTCTCGAACTCCTGACCTCAAGTGATCTGCCTGCCTCAGCCTCCCAAAGTGCTGGGATTACAGGCATGAGACACCACGCCCGTCCCCAGCCTAATATTTTAAAAAGTAAACCAACATTCAGAAATCGAGACACCTCACAGAAAAGTCTAGAGGATCTGGCAACCATGGACCTGCATCCTAGCATGGCACAATCGCTGAGCTGAGAACTAGCCCTGTTGTAGCTGGGGCTCTCCAATTTGCCATGGTCCTCACTGCTATTGAAACATTTGCTTCGGTGATGCCCAAAATAAAGTACACATGTGGTAGCTTTTCTCTTCACTCTAGCTGTGGGGCTTGAGCAAAGCTCTTAATTTCTCTGTCCCCCTTCCTCTGCACAATGGAGTTACCAATGCTCCCTGAGTCAGTGGTGGAGGACTGGACAAAAAAGTCCTTGGGAAACAGAAAGTATTCGGCTCCCTCCCCGGTGTACTGCTATTCCTCTTCGTCCTCCTTTACCCCGCTTCCCAGACCTGACTGCTTCTATCTGTGGAAGCTGCTTTTTAAACACCCTGTCCTATGCTCTCAGCCCAGCTGGGTCCTTGCTTAGCACCTGGCTCTGCCTTCTCACGTGGGGAAGTGGGGAGAGCTGCCGACAGCCACTTGCTGCTGCTGCACCTGCTTCAGTGTGAGGTCTCCATTGGGGAAGGATGAACATGTCATGGTGGAAGGTGGCTGGGATGCAGGAGGGCTCTGAGTCCTAGCCGGGCTTGACCTCTCAACAACTAGAAATGAGAGTTGAGTAACCACCTCCCTCAGATGACCACCAGACAGATGGCTGCCACCAAAAATTCTTTGCTTTTTAACTCTAAGATCCTTGTTCTAGAACCAGGTGTCAGCACCTGTCAGCAAAGTCAGCTGGGTTTGCTCAGCTTTGCTGGGAAATAGCCACTTTTTCCCTCTTGGGGCTATGAAGCAAGTGCACCTTCTGAAAGGTTTTACGCTTTTACTGCTTCTTTAAATACAGCATTTCTCCCATTCCAAAATGAATTGAACTTCCAATAGATTTTCTAAGATTTTCTTTGCTTTGATTATAAAAGTAATTCATTCATGTTCATTATAGAAAAATTTGGGAACTGCATAAAGACACAGAAATAAATAAAACCTCCCATACTCACTGTGAGTATTTTGGTTTTCATCATTCCAGCTTTTTTTTTCTGTATACCCCCAATCATACCTAACTATCCATCCATTCATTTCTATATCCATGTATATTTTTCCACATATACCTGTTAGGATCTTATTATACATGCTATTTTATTTTATTTTATTTTATTTTATTTTATTTTATTTTATTTTATTTTATTTTGAGACAGGGTCTCACTCTGTTGCCCAGGCTGGAGTGCAGTGGCGCGATCTTGGCTCACTGCCACCTCTGCCTCCAGGTTCAAGTGATTCTCCTGCCTCAACCTCCCGGGTAGCTGGGAGTACAGGCGAGTGCCACCGTGCCTGGCTAATTTTTGTATTTTTTAGTAGGGAAAGGGTTTCACCATGTTGGCCAGGCTGTATACATGCTATTTTATAATACACAGCATGAGGCCTGGAAAACAGTAGGCAACGAATAAATATTGCCACTGCTAATAAGTGTCACTTACTGAGACTTACACTGTGCCAGGCATGATATTTAACCTTAATAACACATCTGTGATATGAGAAGTGTCCTATTATCATTGTTTTATAGGTGAAAACTTTGAGGCTTAGAGAGGTTATGTTACTTGTCAAAAGTTCCAAGGGTAGTCAATGAGAGGGACACATACCCATTCATATATTTTTATATGAACAAAATACACATTTATTGGTTTAAAACTTTAAAAAAAAACTTTAAAAAAAATTGCTTTAAGGGCCAGGCGCAGTGGCTCACGCCTGTAATCCCAGCACTTTGGGAGGCCGAGGTGGGCGGCTTACCTGAGGTCAGGTGTTCAAGACCAGCCTGGCCAACATGGTGAAACCCCGTCTCTACTAAAAATACAAAAAAATTTAGCCAGGCATGGTGGTGGGCACCTGTAATCCCAGCTACTCAGGAGGCTGAGGCAGGAGAATCGCTTGAACCCAGCGAGGCAGAGGTTGCAGTGAGCCCAGATCTTGCCTGGAGTGCCTGGGCAACAGAGCAAGACTATGTCTCAAAAGAAAAAAAATTGCTTTAAGGAGTGGTCTGCTGCCTACTCCACATACAATTTTGACTGAGGAAGATGTAAAAACATGTTCTGGTCTTGGAGGCAGGAAACCTGGTTCTACAACTGACTAGTTATACAATCTCAAACTGGTAACTGGACCTCCTTGGCCCTCAGTTTTCTCCTCTCTCAAATGAGATTTGTGTGAGGAGGGGAAGGGTTAGCACTGTGCTTGTCATATAGGAGTGTTTTACATGCACTGTCAAATAAATATTGCTGCCAATAGGAAGCATCAAGAAACTGCAAAAGCACATAGCACAAAGCCTGCCTCCAAAGGCTCCTCTAAGGCTCCTCATGGGGCCCACAGCAATTATGATCTTGGTCAGTGGAGTCACAGGAAGATTGCTTATTAATTTGTCTTTAAGGAATGGGTGATCTCTAGATGTGCCCAGCTCCTAAAATGTCACATTTCCACCTCCAAAGCCTTTTTGGTTCAAATAAAAATTAGTGACAGGAAAATGAAAATACACAGGATACCCGAATTTAAATAAAATCGAGTTGTATTACAGTTAGGGATCTCTCAGTTCCCCTCCTTCCCTGTTGGAGCATTCACTTCTCTGAGTGCCGTTTTTTTCCAAGTGTCAAGTGGCAGTAATCATTTCTCCTCCTAAGGACAGTGTGGAGGCTAAAAACAAGTTATGTGAAGGTTTCAGCTCAGGCTCTCAGTCCTAAAAAATAAGACTTATTATGAGAGGGTATAGACGAGGTGGTCTAGAACACAGGTTTTGAGGTAAGAGTTGGGTTAAAATCCTGGCTCTGCTGTCCACCAGCTCTGCCACCTAGGGCACGTTATTTAGCCTCTCTGAGCCTACCTCATGGGGTTTGTAAAGATTAAGCAGTGGGCCAGGCACGGTGGCTCATGCCTGTAATCCCAGCACTTTGGGAGGCCAAGGCGGGTGGATCACGAGGTCAGGAGTTCGCAATTAGCCTGACCAACATGGTGAAACCCCATCTCTACTAAAAATACAAAAATTAGCCAGGCATGGTGGTACACGCCTGAAGTCCCAGCTACTCAGGAGGCTGAGGCAGGAGAATTGCTTGAACCCGGGAGGCGGAGGTTGCAGTGAGCTGAGATCGCACCACTGCACTCCAGCCTGGGCGACAGAGTGAGATTCTGTCTTTAAAAAAAAAAAGAGAAAAAAAGAAAAAAAAGGCCAGGTGCAGTGGCTCACATCTGTGATCCCAGAACTTTGGGAGGCTGAGGTAGGCAGATCACGAGATCAGGCATCTGAGACCAGCTTGGCCAGCATGGTGAAAACCCATCTCTACTAAAAATACAAAACAAAAACAAAAACAAAATTAGCTGGGCATGATGGCAAGTGCCTGTAATCCCAGCTACTCGGGAGGCTGAGGCAGGAGAATCTCCCCTGAACCTGGGAGGCAGAGGTTGCAGTGAGCTGCACTGCACTCCAGCCTGGGCGGCAGAGCAAGACTCCATCTAAAAAAAAAAAAAAAAAAGACTGAGCAGTAATGTATGTATGTAGGGCCTGGCACAGAGCAGGCATCCAACGTCCAATATTATAATGAGGTCCCCTTTGCCTTCTCTTGATCACATCACTCTTTCACCTTTTTAACCTCTTGTAAAGCTGAAACGGCTTAAAGTGGCACTTGATTATCCACTGCCTTGTGCTATGCTCTTGTTTTTTGTCTCATGTGCTTAACTCTGTCTTTTTTTCATAAGAAACAAGACAGACCCTTAAAGGCACCATCTGGGACACATGCTTCCTTGATATTCCTTCCAGGGACTCAGGTTTGTGAATGCTCAATACATCTTTGCTGCCTTGAATTGCATCGGACTGATAGCTCTTTCCTCTCTGATTTCTCAAGGTTTCACCCAGATTGAGCTAGAACTCTTGGGGAAAATTGCAGCAGCCTGCCCCAGGTCCCCAGAGATCCAAGCTCTTGGCCTTGCTGAAAATGACAAATGGAGAAGCCAAATGGTCTGAGTGCCTCCATAGGCATCTGACAGCTAAGGAGAGGGGCCGTGTAGCCTCTCCCATCCCCTCCCAGCCACCTGACCCGACAGCAGTGTCAGTGGCTTTGTGGGACAGCTGTGGCCTTGAACGGCACCAGAGCTTAAAAGGCTTGCATTATTTACTTAGCTACTGTTTTAATGTCCAGTTCAGGTTCTACTGACGTCCCAATAGGTAATGGGGAGAAAATGTTAAACAAACATGAAAAAAGTGAGGAAGCTGTAGAGTAAGAACCTGGCTGTGGATTTTCAGCTTTTGTACTGTATTTAGTTTCTCCAGCTGAGCATAAGTCATCAAAAAGCAGAACTTTCCACCCTCCAATTCCTCAATTCGAATAGTTTACCACTAAAAGAGGGGCTAATTGACCCATTGAAGTAAAATAGTTGACCTTTGGTATAGGGCAGAACTGTGGGGTGGGCACACTAATTTGTATATAGTGAGTATAGTTTTACAATTCAAGGCTGTTTATGAGTATTGGGCTACTTTTTAGAATCCAAATCTTTTTTTCTTTTAGAGGTTAAGTCATTCATTTATTCATTTATTAAATATTTATTGAGCTAGAAGCTAGGTCCTGTGAATACAAAGTTTACCTGTTCATTGGGCAAACATCCATTGGATACCCTACATACAGGCCCTGTAGCAGGGGCTGGGGGTACAGCTGTGAAGCAGAAAGAGGAATGGGCCCTCCCATCTCAGACCTGGTGAGGAATAAGAGGCACATGAATGGCCCCTTATAATATAGGGTGGAAAGTGCTCAGAGGGATCTCCTAGGGTGTTAAGAAAGTTCTTAGTAAGAACCCAGAGCTAGACTTGGGAGTTCAGGAGGAAGCAGCAACTAAGCTAAGGCTGACATAAGCAGAAACTGTCCAGGTGAGGAGGTAGATAGTAGAGAGGTGGGAGGGAGAGTTGTTCCAGGCAGAGGAGAAATCATGTGCTGGAGGAGATAGGCTGAGTTATGCTGTAGTAAAAGAAAAAGATGCAAAACTCTCAATGGCTTCACATGAAAAAAGTTTATTCTCACTTGCAGGGAGTCTGATGTGCATTCAGAGCCACTGCCCTCCATGGGGTGACTCAGTGATCCAGGGTGCTTTCGTCTCAAGACTCTGTCATCTCAACATGTGGCTGGGGAGGAAGAGACAGAGAGAGAGCGAGAGAGGCCAGGTGCGGTGGCTCACTCCTGTAATCCCAGCACTTTGGGAGACCAAAGCTGGTGGATCACTTGAGGTCAGGAGTTTGAGACCAGCCTGGCCAACATGGCGAAACCCCATCTCTACTAAAAATACAAAAATTAGCCAGGCATGGTGGCACATGCCTGTAATCCCAGCTACTCAGGAAGCTGAGGGAGGAGAATCGCTTGAACCCGGGGGGCAGAGGTTGCAGTGAGCCGAGATCATGCCACTGCACTCCAGCTCCAGACTGGGTGACAGAGCGAGACTCTGTCAAAAAAAAAAAGAAAAAGAAAAAGAGAGAGAGAGAATGATTTAGCCTTGGAGTGATCATCCAACTTCTGCTCATGACCCATTGTCCAGAACCAGTGACCCAGTTCCATCTAAATGCTACAGGGCTAGGAATGTAGGGGAGCCCATGTGATATTTGGTGGGCAGTGCTGTCTGTGCCACAGAAAGAGTAAGGCATGCTGGGAAACTGCAAGTCCTTCCAAGTGGCTAGAGCTTATTGAGTGTGTGTGTGTGTGTGTGTGTGTGTGTGTGTGTGTGCGTTGGGGATTAGTAGGCAGGGTTGGAGAGAGAAATGATAGGGAGTGAGGTGAGTTGAGGTCAGTCACAAAGGGGCTTTGTAAGCCATGTTCAATGTTGAAGAATTTGAACTTTAGGGCGACATGGAAGAATTTTATTAGGATATGATAGGATTATATTGGCATTTTAGAAAGATCAGACTTTCATATGGAGACTTGGGATGGAGGGGGCAAGATTGGAGAACAGCGAAGAAGCTTTTGCTGTCATTAGGAGAGAGGCAATGGTGCCCTGAACAAGGAAGGGGCTGTAGGGATGAGGGAGGTGGGAACATTCAAGGCTTATGTAGGAAGTGAAATCAGTAGCTGAAGTGCAGGAGAAGAGGGGTGAAGGGTAGACCTCGTATTTGTGGGTTGAGCGACTGAGTGGAGGGTTCTGTTTACCTGCTCAGGCATGGCAGGAAGAGTAAGTTTAGGGGAAAGACAATGTGTTCAGTTTTGGACACGGTGAATTTCAGGGGTCTGTAGAACACCCAAGGGGAGAAGTTCAGAAGGCATTTGCCTTGTTCAAGGCATTTGGCTATAAGAGTCTGGTGCTGGGGAGTGTGAGGTTGGTGATGTTGATTCGGGAGTCATGAGCATATAGGTGGTATTTGAAGTCCTAATGATGGAAAGTTGAATGAAACATTATCCCTGGGCCAGGCGTGGTGGCTCATGCCTGTAATCCCAGGATTTCGGGAGGCCAAGGCAGAAGGACTGCTTGAGCCCAGGAGTTCAGGACCAGCCTGGGTAAGATGGTGAGACCCTGTCTCTACCAAAATTTTTTAGAAATTAACTGGATGTGGTGGCACGTACATGTGGCTATTTAGGAAGCTGAAGCGGGAGGATCCTTTGAGCCCAGGAGTTTGAAGTGCCAGTGAGGTATAATTGTATCACTCTACTCCAGCCTGGCCAACAGAGCGAGACCTTGTCTCAAAAAAATAAAAATAAAAAATAAAGTCCCTGCTCTCAAGTAGTTAAAAGTTTAGTGTGGGGTGGGGGCTAGGCATGCAAGGAACAATTGGATTTCAAGGTGAACTGTATAACACAGAGGTATGTACAGGGCTCAGTGGTGACACAAGGCCTGGGAGGGTCAGAGAAAGCTTTAGAGAAGAGGGGCTGAAACTGAGTAAGAGCTTGGCAGGTGGACTGGGGAAGGCCAGTCTATGTGGAGGGCAGAGCAAGTGCAAAGGCATGGAGATGCCAAAGCAGCACTGCCCAGCCAAGAAGTTCTGTTTTCTGGAGCATTTCAGTGTGCTCATCTAAGGAAGAGGCAGCAGAAGCACTTGAGATCTTTGAGGAAACACTTGTCCATCAACATCTGTGTAGTGCGTGTTGAATACCCATGGCCTAGCTTTACACAGATGAAGGGTTTGTGATAAGGTGGCATTAAAAAAGAAATTAAACATTTTATTTTATTATTATTTTTTGTTTGTTTTTGTTTTTTGAAATGCAGTCTCACTCTGTCACCCAGGCTTGAGGGCAGCGGCATGATCTCCGCTCACTGTAACCTCTGCCTCTGGGGTTCAAGAGATCCTCCCACCTCAGCCTCCCAAGTAGCTGGGATTACAGGCACCCGCCACCATGCCCAGCTAATTTTTCTATTTTTAGTAGAGACGGGGTTTTGCCATGTTGGCCAGGCTGGTCTCAAACTACTGACCTCAAGTGATCCACCCACCTCAGCCTCCCAAAGTGCTGGGATTACAGGCATGAGTCACTGCACCTGGCCAAAATAAATAAATAAATAAAATAAAAATAAACATTTAAAAAGTCATTTTTAATCATTTTTTCAAACACATAAAAATGTAGAAAAAATAACACAATAAATCCATGTGTATTTATCACCCAGGTTCAATAATTTCTAATGTTTTGCCAATATTTGTTCATTAATTCATTTCTCCCTTTTTGGAAGGCTGGAGAATTAATTTAACTTTATATTACGGAGGCAGTAGACAGAAGAGTATAATGAACCCTCATCTACTCATTACCTAGTCCCAAGAAATATTGACCCAAGGCCATTCCTTCCCTATCCATGTCCCATCTGCTTAATCCCCTCCCATATTACTTTGAAGCAAACTCATGACACCATATCATTTCACCTGGAAATATGTTAAAGAATGTATCTCTAAAGATAAGGACTTTAAAAATACCACTGTAATATCATTGTCACCTGCAACAAGATGAACACTAATTTATCAGGTGGTGTTTTGAAAACTCAGGGGAGGTGTTTGGTAAAGCCACAAAATCCTGAGATCTTGCATAAATGTGTTTCAGGAAGCAATTATGGATGTCCAGGTTGGTATAGACCCGATGTCTTCAACAAGACTACACTGCATAAGCCAGGGTGACGGGGTGGAGAAGGAGCCAGAGTGAATTAGGGACAAGTAGGGTTGTGGTGTAGGAGGCTGGGTCAGAGTTTTAGCAGCCAAGAGAAGGGGGTGCAGGGTGCACAGGGAGCTTCCTCAGCCCCACTCAGTGCTCCAGCAGGCAGGAGGCAGTCGTCCAAAGGAGATAAAGTGAAGAAGGGATGGAGCAGGAAGGAGAGAGAGGTGTAAGGAGGAGGAGGTGTATGCAGAGAGAGGAGCTGATATTGAGGAAGAAAATGAGGAGGAGGAGAGCAAAAATAAATAACGACTGAGCACCTATGACCCACCAGATGTCAGGGGCACTACTTCTGCCCCCCTCCAGATTTCCAGGAGTGGGGCTCACCCCAAACAAGCTTGACCTCTTGATCGTCCTCTCAGGGAGTTGCTCTATTGGTGGGTCGAGGTTAGGGACATGTACTATGAAGGTATAAACTGTGTGGTTTTTTTTTTTGAGACGGAGTTTCTCTCTTGTTGCCCAGGCTGGAGTGCAATGGCGCGATCTCAGCTCACCGCAACCTCCGCCTCCCTAGTTCAAGCCATTCTCCTGCCTCAGCCTCCCGAGTAGCTGGGATTGCAGGCATGTGCTACCAGGCCCAGATAATTTTTTTTTTCTTTTTTCTTTTTTTTTCTTTTTTTTTTTTTTTTTTTGTATTTTTAGTAGAGACAGGGTTTCTCCATGTTGGTCAGGCTGGTCTCTAACTCCCAACTTCAGGTGATCTGCCCGCCTCGGCCTCCCAAAGTGCTGGGATTACAGGCGTGAGCCAGCACGCCCGGCCGTATAACTGCTTTTATAAGGAAGGAGGGCTATGTGTCTTTAGCAGAAGAGGGGCAGGGTTCCAGCCCATGCCTTGAGAGCAACCTCCACCAGGGCCTTGGCAGAGCCAGGGTGACATCCACCAAAGCAAAGGAGGAGGAAGGCAGCAGAAATGAAGGGGGTGGTCCTCTCACTGGAGGGGTGCAGCGAGGCAGCAGTCTCCCCGGAGGGGCTGGTGGCAAGCGCACCCCCAGCGCCCTCCAGCTTTATTTTTGGCAGGGCAGGAAATGTGTGTGTGTCTGTGGGTGACCTGGGGAGGAGGGGAGGGGGGGTAAGAGGGTCCCTGGATTTTGGTAAATCTGCGGGGGTTGTGGGGGGTTTCCGGAGCCCCCGGGGTAGGGGTAGGGATGGGGGCAGCCCCGGGCAGTGCTGAGCGCAGCTGTTGCGGGTACGGTCATGTCCAACTCCTTCCCAGCTGGAAACGCTGCGGCGGGTGGTATCACCAGTGGACAGGCGAACTTCAGGCCAGAGAGTGCCTTCCTCCAGGGCTTTAGGGGAAAAGGGCGACGAGGCCGTGGTGGTCGGCGCCCTGAATACCCCGAGGGGCCAGGGCCCCTTTTTCTACATGAAGACCTGGGCCCGTTCCCTCCCGGGTTCTTCCACTCCCATCTCAGCCAAGTGCTGATCTAATAACTCAGTGGAAGCGCCCAGAGAAGAACAGGGTCGCCGTGGTTAGAGACGCTGTTCCCCTCCGCGCCTGACTCCGCAGTTACTTTGTTACTTAACCGCCCTTCTGCTCATTTGACAAGCCCTGAGCGCACATTTGCAGAGCTTCCTTCCGGGACTTCGTGGCACGGATTGCAAGAGGCCCCTACTCTGGCAAGGACTTGACTCAGGGAAATTCTTTCTGTCCTTTCTTACTAGAAAAGGCATAAATTGGAGGTGAGCCTCCTTGATTAGAATGGGCACAATGGCTGGTGGCCACGAGACCCAGAAGAGGTCACTGGTGGTGTTGCTTCCCAGACAGCCAGCCAATGTTGGTGAGACTACAGTGAAAAGAGGCAGATTGAACTAACCAGACCTGGGACTTGTCTTCATCTGCAAACGGTAGTAACAGCGGTTAACCCCCTGAGCGCTTCTGACATGCTGAACGCTGTTCCAAGCCCTGCTCTAATGCATCGAAGGCATGTTCTAAACATGCATTATCTAATAACGCTATTCCCGAGTTTACAGATGAAGAATCACAGCCACTAAGAGATGACATCACTTGGTGAAGGTCACATAGCTTCTGGGGCCAGGGTTCTGTTTTGCCTTTGTGAAGAACAGTGAACATGCTCTGCACTTTTCTAAAGTAGAAAAATGAGCTGATGTCAGGGATTCTTTCAAGAAGGCAAATTTCAGAGCTGTTGCTGAGATCACGACCCATTCAGCAAAGTGTCCCAAACGCTGAATGCACTTCTGAGTCTCTGGTTTCACTTTGCAGCACTCGGCATAACTGATGCTCCCAATAATGACCTTCAACCACCAAGGAAACGTTCATTTATATTTTGCAAGCTCTGTTTAATGGATGAAGGAGTAACAAGTTTTAAAAAAGATTTTGATCAACACGGTGGCTCATGCCTGTAATCCCAGCAGTTTGGGAGGCCGAGGCGGGTGGATCACTTGAGATCAGGAGTTCAAGACCAGCCTGGCCAATATGGCGAAACCCTGTCTCTACTAAAAAACATGAAAATTAGCCGGGTGTGATGGCGGGTGCCTGTAGTCTCAGTTACTCAGGAGGCTGAGGCAGGAGAATCGCTTGAACCTGGGAGGTAGAGGTTGCAGTGAGCCGAGATCACGCCACTGCACTCCAGCTTGGGCGACAGAGTGAGACTCTGATTCACACACAAACCAAAAAAAAAAAAAAAAAAAAAAAAAAAGATTTTGATCAAAACCAAATCACTAAAGTTAAACACTTGAAAGAATTAACCCTGTCTTTGTAAAGCTTGGCTACCCTGGTAACTCATGCCAGGGACACTTAGCTTTAAAATTGTCCCCTCTGGAGGGGCTTTGCTCTTATGCCACAAGTATTGCTGCTGCGTCTGCGAAACAGGAAGGAGCAGCATCTCCCCATTATTTCCCTGACGAGTACCCCTAGAAGATGGTGGAGTCCACGTGGTCAAGTTCTCTTTCTTCCACTGGCCTAAGTCTGAAATTCCCCAAACACCTGGAGCCTTGCAATGCTGGGCAGCCGGCAGTTTCCCCAGCAGTTGCCCTGGCATCTTGCCCCCTTTACACAAAGCAATCACTGTTGCAGAAAATGAGGGTCCTGTGATCATTTGGCTCCACCCCCCTGCCTGGCATTTGCGTGGGAGAAGGGACTTTCTTTCTTTTTGACAATAGATTCTGATCACAAACCAGGCCCCTTTCAGAGAAACAGCTCCCATGGAATGACTCTGCCTAGAGGTAAGAACTGAGGGGCACAACAGAAGTGATTTCTCGCTCCCCACCCTCATGGCCATCAATGCTCAGTCAGGCCCCTATCCTTGAATTTGTTTCAAACGGTGGCATATCTGGTCCCTGGCCAGTGGGACAGGCACCCTGTAGTTAGTGGTCTAGATTTTCAGCCTTACCTCAAAATGCAGGTGCAGGCCAGGTGCGGTGGCTCCAGCCTGTACTCTCAGCACTTTGGGAGGCCAAGGCAGGTAGACCACCTGAGGTTGGGAGTTTGAGACCAGCCTGGCCAATGTGGCGAAATCCTGTTTCTACTAAAAATACAAAAATTAGCTGGGCATGGTGGCATGTGCCTATAATTCCAGCTACTCAGAAGGCTGAGGCAGGAGAATCACTTGAACTCAGGAGGTGGAGGTTGCAGTGAGCCAAGATTGTGCCATTGCACTCCAGCCTGGGTGACAAAGTGAGACTCTGTCTCAAAAAAAAAAAAAAAAAAAGTAGGTGTAGTGATCCTTTCTTACAGGTAACATTTCCTTGCTAAGAAATGAACACTGGTATAATATACTATAACTAAACTACAGACTGTGGATTTCTCCAGTTTTTCCACTAATGTCCTTTTCCTGTCACAGGATGTAATCCAGGATACCATATTGCATTTACTTGTCGTGTCTTCTCTCACCTGTGAAAAGTTTCTTAGTTGTTCCTTATTGTTCATAACTTTGACACTTTCAGGTATTTTATTGAGTGTTTGGGTTTATCTAATGTTTTCTCATAATTAGACCAGGGTTATGGATTTTTTAGAAGAAAAGTCCTTTCTTCTTTGCATGCCATAAGGAGGTACATGATATCAACATGGCTTATCAATGGTGAAGTTAACTTTATTTGCATGGTTAAGGTGGCTCTGCCGTTTCTCCACTGTGAAGTTACTGTTTTTCCCTTTCTGTATTCTACTTATTAGAAGTGGGTCAATAAGTCTAGCCCATATTCAAAGGGAAGGAAATGAAACTCTACTTCCTGGAGAAGGGAGAATGTACATATATATTTTGGAATTTAATCTTATGAAAATTTGTCTCAGGCTGGGCATGGTGGCTCATACCTGTAATCCCAGCACTATGGGAGGCCAAGGCAGGTGGGTCACTTGAGCCCAGGAGTTCAAGACCAGCCTGAGCAACATGGGAAAACTCTGTCTCTACAATAAATACAAAACATTAGCTGGGTATAGTGGCACGCACCTGTAGTCCCAGCTATTTGGGAGGCTAAGGTAGGAGGACGGCTTGAGACCGGGAGGTTGAGGCTACAGTGACCTGTGAGTATCTCACTGCAAAGAAAAGATTCTCTGTAGTTCATATATTAATTTATTTATATTGGCATGGACTCATGGATATTTCTTTTATTCTTTGGGTTATAAGAATCATCATGGTTCTATATCATCCAATCCTTTCATTAGTTTGTTGCTTAAATTGTTCCAGCCTTGCTCGTTGGGAACTCCTGGTTCCTTTTGACATGCCCACATTAAAAAAAAAAAATGATGCATAATGGATGTACATAGTTTTGGGGCCCCCATTTTTTTTCCAATTCCTTACTTTCTGGCATTACAAGCTGCTCCAAAACTCACCTTGTGTTTTCACTGCTTTAGCCCTAGAATCAGTTATTTCTCCAAGGAGCCTGGTTCCTTTAATCAGAGAATGGTATTTAGAAACCATGTTTCTGAGTGTTGGGTGTGCTCGTTGCTACTGGGGTGTCATTGCTTCTAGGCCCTCTCAGTGAACAGTTAGGAATATTTACATATATTTATGTATATATGTATGTATGCTAACCCATGAATATGTGCATATCTATGTTTGTGTATCTGTCTATTTGTATATATACTTTTAAAAAGAGTTTGTGCCAGGCGCAGTGGCTCACACCTGCAATCCCAGCGCTTTGGGAGGCCAAGGTGGGTGGATCACCTGTGTCAGGAGTTTGAGACCGACCTGATCAACATGGTGAAACCCCGTCTCTACTAAAAACATAAAAAAATTAGCTGAGTGTGGTGGTGCATGCCTGTAGTCCCAGCTACTTGGGAGGCTGGGGAGGAGAATCACTTGAACCCAGGAGGCAGAAGTTGCAGTGAGCCAAGATCGTGCCATTGCACAGTAGCCTGGGCAACAAGAGTGAAACTCTGTCCCCAAAAAAAGAAAAAAAAAGAAAGAATTTGTATTATCTCTGACTTGAATCCAACCCTGCAGGTTTCATTCTAACCTTCTCCCTTTTCTCACTGCTGCTTTTTTCTCTGATGGTGAGAAACCTGACTCCCATTATCTATAATTTATTTACATATTTGTTCAACCCTAGTATACATGTGAAGTAGTTTCAGAATCACCAATGTAGTTCCCTATGAAAAGTAAATTTATCAACTAGAGTATAGTGTTTTTGCAGAGTTCTTTTTGCACAGTATTTTTTTAGCTTTACAGATTCCAGTCAAACACATCATTTTCCATTGTGTGTGAAGTTTGTGACAGTGAAATAAAAAAGAAAAAAACCCCATCATTTTCCAAAGTTACTTAGGTCAGCTTCTTTTTTTTCCTTCTTGATGGGCACATCTTAATATTTCCAAAGCATTTCTACATCTGGTTTCTTTTATCATATCATTGTTGGATGGGGGAAGAAGAAACCATGACATATGAAGGTTGAACTGGTTGTCTCAGGTCACATGATCAGCTGGATCATGATTAGAACTACTTTGGGCTTTGCTGGACCATACCACCTTTCCTAGAGTTGCTGTTTTCTTGGTGGGTCTGGGCTGCAAAGCCAGCTGTTGCAGAGAATGTCTGGTGAAAGGAGAAGGTGAAGTACGGCTGGGAAGCTCTGTCTTTTTTGGTCAGGCAGAATTGTCAGATGTCAGTGGGAAGGAAGCTTAGAGATCTCATGGTTCAACTCACTTTCCTTATGGATGGGGAAACTGAAGCCTAGAGAGGTGATGTACCTTGTCCAAGATGAACTAGTTGGTTAGAGCCATGGGTGGGAATAGGATTCAGAACTCTGTGCTCCCATATCTGTGCTCTTCCCACCACACTGCATGGGCTACAAGGTCAAGGGGTTGCAGGTTTGGAGAGAAAGACCCTTTGAAATTGTTTCTACAGGGCCGGGAGAATTTGCCATCATTCCCTAAATAGAGAGGTTCTTTCATACCTTAAGCATTCTGAAGTGGTCAGAGAGCTAATTAAGAAATGCCTGATGGGTCTGGAAATTTGCTTCCCACATGTTGCAACAGTAATGATCTCATCTAAAAGTGGCGACTTGAGGGATGTTGTGAATTCCAGAGCTGCCGTTTTTAAGCGTGTCATGTCCTCTCTTAATTGTCACCCTCTAGCATCTGCAAAGCTGAGGATAGTAGTGTCTATCCTGTTCAGGTCATGGAGTTATTTTAAGGCTCCTTGCTTAACTGTAAGACAGGAATCAAAGCTTTTTTTTCTTTTCTTTCTTCCTTCTAACTGCTGGTTTCCTAACCTCCAGCATAGTACATAGAACACAGTAGGAATTCAATAAATATTTATTGGATGAATGAATAAAGAATCATATGAGGTCCTTCAGTTAAAAGTACACTGTCATCTCTAAAGCACTATACAGATGTAAGGGACTGCTAATGACATTAACTAACACTCTGAATTAGGGCGAGTTGGTTACCCTCTGTGGACTTCAGTGTCCTATCTGCCATACGAGATGCTCCAGGCTCATCTTGCATTTTGGATTAAAGCTGATGATTTCTAAGGTCTCTTTCAGATCTGTAATTCTGTAATTGCAGTGATACTTATTATCAAGAGTATTTGTGAGAATTTTCAGATTGGTTTAGGATATGAAAGTATCACATGCCATCATGGACTACAGCAGAGATAACATCCTTTGCATGTGTGATTTCTAGTTGATTGGTAGTGGCTGCCTGGAATGCAATGTTGAGAAAGACTCTGAGGGTCAGCAGAATAGTGATGATTAGTGATTAGTGATGATTAGAATGATTGATTCACGATGTCTGTCAGGAACACGGAATATCAGGTAGTTGCAAGCATGCCAAATATCTGCCATCTCCAACCTAGATGCCTAAAACAGCGTTGCCCTGGAATTTCTGGCAGGAATGTTACTATTATTATTTTCTTGATTTTGCATAATAATGGAGAGAGATTGCTTGGATGAAGCCAGGGTTTCCTAGAGGTAAACAAAGAGCCCTATAGACTTGTAGTAAGACTTGCCACCGTTCTGCCTTTGATTGCCTCTCTCCTATTTTTTAATTTATCAGGCAAATAAAGATGAACATGTTCAACTGATTGATGAGAAGCACATCCAGGCCCAGGATTCTTTCTACTACTCTGGGACTCAAGCAGATACATGGCTTCTGTTCTTGAGGAAATTGAGAATGTAGAAGGATGCAAACATTCTAGACATAAACACGAACCCACTCACCCAAAAAGTACATGATGAACACCTACAGTATGCTAGGCAGGCCCAGGTAAATGGCTTGGCCCTGAAGACATAGGTGATATTTTCAGGATAAAGGTCTTCTCCCTTTCTCTTGTTTCCTTAACACTAGTTAAGTGTTAAGGAACCATTGACTGATCAGTATGTGTGGGTCCATGAGCTTTCTGAATATAACCATTATTTTCCCCAGTCTACCCAAGTGATAAGGAAATAGTAAGTTTCAGGTCTGATTCCCAGAATTCTTGATGGAAATATACAAACGAATCTCCTAAATCTCTTGTTGCACATGGGGAAAGCCAGCCAGCCGAGGAGAGACCTTCATGGGCCATTAGGTACCATCCTGTTTCTCAATGTACTTTTAAAACCCAAGGAGGCCATGAATGTGAGGATGTTCTCATTCATTCCTGCTTACCCAGATATGTGGAGAGACCTCTGCGTCTTGGTTTGGGGGTCATGTGTATTGTTCCCCCATGCCATTTCTTCATGACCGGCCAGAAATGTATCACAAATGGAGGACTGACATGACAACCCCTGCCATTCTTCTTCTAGTGGGTCCTCCTTTGCCCTAGTGACACGGGCTTCCATTTACCTTCCCTCAGGACTGGTCTTTCTCCACTGTCCAGGCAGTTTCTGAAGAGACCGCACTACCTAACCGAGTGATTACTTCAGGACTTGAAATAGCTTTTTTCCTGTCCCAGATATGACACAGTCACTTCCTCAGTAGAGCCATCACTCCAAGAGGAACAGGACGTCCTTGTAACGGAGCCAGGAAGGTCACATGATCAGACAGCCGGGGGCCTCCTGGGACCTCGTTTCCCCTTAAGCTGTTGGCAAGGACTTGTCTATGAAAGTCTGTCTATGAGAGGCCCTGGCAAGCCATCCCGAACCTACCCTCCTATAGGGTTTCAGTCCAAAGCAATTTCTGCAGGGAATAAACTTTTGATGAATGAATGACAAGCAGGGTGATTGGGGAGGATTTCTGTGGAATATCTTTGGTGATCACATAGAAATAAACCCAGCATGCACAGGCTTCCACATTAGGAGGTCAGGGGATCCCCATGATCCTGTTATCTTTGTCTTCAGTGGCACCCTTAAAGGAGGCCATAAAGTTTGGACAAGTAGCCCAATTTGCTGATTGGGGAATCCCTTGGCATAGTCTGGAGCCAGCTAGAGTAGAGAGTGAGAAACAGGGAGGAAAGATTTTCCCTAGAATTCAGGATCAGGCAAAAGAGAAAGATATTTATGAAGGCTGAAGCTCAGCCACAGCACCAGCTCCAGACCCCCAGACCTCACAGACTCATGGTCAAGTTTTACTGGGAAGTGACTGAGCACTACAGGGGAAAATATGATTTAGGCATTTATGCAGAAGCAGGGTTTGGGGAGCTGAGAAAAGTCTTCAAGAGGCCTAAAGAAGGGGAAAATTAGCTGAGTCAGAAGCCAACAAGAGGAACCTGAAGGAGAGGAACTTGGTATGTAGAGTCAGAGGCAGCCTCATGTTGGGAGAGAGAGTTGAGTGTTTTTAAAATCTTTAATGTCTGGTGCCAAGAAAGTCTTTAGGAGACATAAAGCAATTCTATATTTATTTAGTGAAACCTTCCAGTCAACTAAGAGTCACCTTTGGGATGAATGGGAGAATCCCTTTTAAATTAAATTAATTCAGTTTAAGACAAGGTTTCACTCTGTCACCCAGGCTGGAGTGTAGTGGTGCCATCTCGGCTCAGTGCAACCTCTGCCTCCTGGGTTCAAGTGATCCTCCTGCCTCAGCCTCCTGAGTAGCTGGGGCTTCAGGTGCAAGGGTCAGGTCACTACACTCAGCTAATTTTTAAATTTTTTTGTAGAGACAAGGTCTCACTATATTGCCCAGGCTGTTCTTGAACCCTTGGTCTCAAGCGATCCCCCCATCTCAGCCTCCCAAAGTGTTGGAATAGCAGGTGTGAGCCACTGCGCCCAGCCAGAATCCCTACTCAGACTAGGAAAAACTTCCAGAATACCAGGAACCCCGAGTACTAGGAATTTTCCATGGCCATCTGGTCTTGCTGCTCAGCCTCTTCTCTTTTCTCCCAGACTACAATAGCAGATAAACCCAAAGGCTCCAGGGCCTTTGATCTATGGAAGAATTGAAGCTGGTCATCACACAGGTGAGGTTGCACAACTTCAGTTTATGTCTGGGACATGGAGAAAGCTACCTGGCCAAATGGTGGACATCAGGGTTGCATTGGTTAGAGTGCACATTTGTAGGCAATAGAATTCATTCTAGCAAGTTTAAGAAGGGGTTTATTTGGGGATATTGGGAAGATCACAGAATTGTCAGAAGGGCTGAAGGAACAAGCTCTAAGCTGAAATTCCATGAACACTTCCTAGAGACACACTGCAGGATTGGGTCGGTAAGAAGCTGTTACCACTGCCAACCATGAACCATGGTTGTCTCTGCTGCAGGCAAAGAGCTGCCACTGCCACCTCCAGCCCCAGAAACCTGCTGTACCTGCTGCCATCTGGGCCTGCACCCCTTCTGTTTCCTCATGTAGCTCACTTCCAAATCAAAGTCTCATGTGGGTGCATCTAAGTGGCAAAACCTAAGCCATGTGTCTGTACCCAGCAGCAAGCAAAGCTGAGAAATGTCTACACCCACACATCTATGCAGAGAGACACAAATTCAATGTGAATATCCTTAAAATGTGGAGAGATTATGCAAAAGCTTTTGGAAGTCAAGAATGACAGATATCTACTACAAGAAGTCTGTGAACTATGGCCTGAGATGCTCAGGAAAAGGTGATCTGTTGAAAGTGCCCCACTGTGTGGGTGAAGTGATAGAGTCCCTGGTGGACTTCCCTCAATAGCATTAAGCTCAGTTCATCTTGGGCAAAATAGAGAAGTAAGAAATGCTTGTGTTCTAGGTTCTTCAATCAACCAAGTAAAACTGTTTTTACCATTTATTTATTTTTAAGATTCTTTCAAAAAGATTTGAGTCAACCATGGTATTGTTTTGCATATTACAGTACTAGTCAATTCTGGGCATCATGAAAGACACAAACAGTTACACACATGGCTTTTGATCTGAATGGGGAGCCAGGAAACACACTAATGCCATCGTTATAAACATACCAAATCCTATATAATGAGCACCAAACGAATGGCATGGATAAGTGATCACGTTGCTCAGAGGAGAGCTGTGGTTTGGGGTAGTTAGGATGGCTTTTTGGAGGAGGCAGGACCAGAGGTGGGTCTTGAACAATGAGTAGGATTTAGACAGACAGTGAAGAGGAAAAAGCAGTCCTAGGGGATAGAAATGAGGTGAGCGAAGCCTGGAGCGGATGGAGGGTGTGGCTATCAACGAGCTCCATGGGGGTGGACAGTCAATTCTAAGTCTAGGAGAAGTACAGGATTTGAATAGAAGAATTATAGATGAAAACAACAAAAACTGGAGTTGAGACCATATTTTGGAGGATCTTGGTTGCCTCATGAATTAGTCAGGACTGTTTTAGTTTCAAGTGATAGAAATCCAATTCAAATTTACTTAAGATAAAATGGAATTTATCATTTCATCTAATTAAAAAGCCCAAGGGCATGAGTATGACACATAGCTGGATCCATGTTCTCAAAAGATGTCATCAGGGCTCAGTCTCTCTCCTTCTCTCAGCTCTGGCTCATCTGCATTGATTTCATTTCCCAGGAGGCTTTCTCCATGTGGTGGTCCCTGGCAACTCTAGGCTTACGTCACCTCAGTTCAGCCATCTCTTGCCAAATATTTCCAGAAGAATTCTCAGAATTCTTAGGACTGAGGCTGGTTGGTTGGCTCAGTCTGGGTCATGAACAACTATCCTCTAACCCTGCTGGAACTACAACCATGACCAGAGGGATGTGGGCTTTCTCACTGACCAGGTCTGGGACGTGGCCCAAGAGGGCAAGTTCATCTCCACCCCAACCATATGGAGGAATGGCCACTGTAGCAGATGCTGCCAGTGCCCCATCCTTATCCCCTTGGTCCTTACCATTTCGGTGGATGCTGGTTTAATTTTCTACTGTTAACACCCTCATGTCTTTGCCTGAGGGCTTTCTCTCACCACCAGAGCCCACTCTGAACACATTCAAGAAAGGCCAGAAATGCCAGGGAGTTAACACTTCCTAAGAGCAGTCCTTGGCCAATGGCTGTTGGAGTTGGAGGATGAATACCCCATTTTTTTTTTGTCTCGGGTGAGATGACTCTGTGGCTCATGTTCTACAGTGTTTCTCAGAGTTCCCCAGTAGGATTAAGTTCCAGTTGCTCAGTGTGGTCACTTGAATGATGATACACTCTGCATTGACTTCCTTCCTTCTCCATCTTACTTTCCTACTTGCCTACTGGTATTTCCCAGAACTTCCTCCCAAATAAATTCTCACACTTGAATCTGTCTAAAGGTCTGCTTTTGGGGAATCCAAATTAAGATATTCCCCAATGGAAGACCAGATGCTGTTGCCAAGATAAGGGAAAATGGATACTGGGTAGATAAGAACAATGGATGTCAGCCTCTCTTGGTTAAAAGATTTGGGAATTTAGCTGGGCACAGTGGCTCATGCCTGTAACCCCAGCACTTTGGGAGGCTGAGGCACATGGATCATGAGGTCAGGAGTTCAAGACCAGCCTGACCAACATGGTGAAACCCCGTCTCACTAAAAATACAAAAAACTAGCTGGGCATGGTGGCGCGTGCCTATAATCCCAGCTACTCAGGAGGCTGAGGCAGGAGAATTGCTTGAACCCAGAAGGTGGAGGTTGCAGTGAGCCGAGATTGCACCACTGCACTCCAGCCTGGGTGACAGAGTGAGACTCTGTCTCAAAAAAAAAAAAAAAAAAAAATTTGGGATTTTAATTTTTTTTTTGCCTGGGACTGTATTTGTCTGCCTCTTCCTAGAGGTAGGCAGTGAGTCCACTGATGGGAAGGCCACAGCCTACTCACTGTGGTGGTCACAGACCTGGTGCACAGCAGATGCTAAAAGTATTTGTTGTACTGAATTGAATTTTATAGTCAATGAAGAATCATTAAATAATTTTGTGAACTCAGAACTGGAAGAATGTGTTTTGTTTGTTCACCAAGATTCTGTAACCTGGTGGCAGTGTGGAGGATACATTGGGGAAAGGGAAGATAGAGAGACTCATTCAGAGGCGATCACAGTAGTTTGGGCTTGAGATGATAAGAGTCGGGACCAGGTAGTGGATGCAGGAGTGTGAAGAAAAGGTCAGAGGGGTGAGACTGGGCATCGGTGGAATATGGGCAGGAGATGAGACCATGGCTTAGTAAGGAGAATGATAATTTCTTCAGGAGTTGCTCATCTGGCCAGGACATAGCATAGTTGCCCAGTTTCCTATTGTTAGGGGATTTATAGAATTTCTACCATAGTTCTTCTTCTGAGGAGAGTGTGTGTGTATGTTGGCAGGGGGTGATAGCTGGAAAAGGAGTTATCTAAGGGCAAAAATTTATTAAGGTCTGTGATGGTTAGTTGTATGCATCAACTTGACTGAGCCATGGGGTGCCCAGATATTTGGTAAACATTATTTCAGGTGATTCTGTGAGGGTGTCTTCGGATAAGTCTTCCACATTTCAGTTGATAACTGAGTAAAGCAGATAGTTCTCCCTAATGTGGGCGGGTTTCCTCCAGTCAGTTGGAGGCCTGAATAGAACAAAAGGCTGACCCTCCCTGGAAGAAGAGGAAATTCCTCCTATTGACTGTCTTCAAGTGGGAACATTGGTTTTTGGGTTTTTTCTTGCCTTCGGACTCGAACTGCAACATCGGCTCTTTCTGGGTCTTGAGCCTGCAGGCCCTCACACTGGATCTACACTATCAGCTCTCCTGGGTCTCAAGACTGCCCACTGCAGATCTTGGGATCTGGCAGTCTCCATAATTGTATGAGCCAATTTCTTTCTTTCTTTCCTTTTTTTTTTTTTTTGACATGGTTTTGCTCTGTTGCCCAGACTAGAATGCAGTGATGCGTTCATGGTTCACTGCAGCCTCGACTTCCTGGGCTCAAGTGATCCTCACACCTTAGTCTCCCAAGGACCTGGGACTAAAAGCATGCACCACTATGCCTGGTTAACTTTTAATTTTTTTGTAGAGACAGGGTCTCACTATGTTGCCAAGGCTGCCAATTTCTTATAATAAGTCTCATTCTCTTTATAGCTACATCCTATTCGTTCTGTTTCTCTGGAGAATCCTGACTAACACATGCCTCGTGGGTCCATGCCTCAGAGAGTGAGATTAGATGGTAGTCATTCTTAGCCAATAACAGGGGAAACTGTAACCAGAGGGATGGGATAACTGGTGCAGGGAGAGAACTTTTAGATGTGTCAAGATTCCAAATCAGGTACATGTTCAGGGGAGAATGAGGGAAAAGTACAGACTGATTTAGAACTATGAAGGTGTTCATACCATTGCTGGGGGAGGTTGTATTTTATTATTATTATTTTAATTTTTTAATTTTTTTTTGTAGAGACAGGGTCTTGCTGTGTTGCTCAGGTTGATTTCAAACTCCTGGCCTCAAGTGATTCTCCTGCCTCAGATTCCCAAAGTGCTGGGATTACAGGCATGAGCCGCCATAGCTGGCCTCTGTGTATTTTAAAGCCTGTACTCCACAACTAGCTGCTGTGGTTTGAATGTGTCCCCCAAAGCTCATGTGTTGGAAACTTAATCCTCAATGCAACAGTGTTGGGAGGTGGAGCCTAATAGGAGGTGATTAGGTCATGAGGACTCTGCCCTCCTGAATGGATTCATGCCTTATCATAGGAGTGGGTTAGTTATCATGGAGGTGGGTTCCTGATATAAGGATAAGTTTGCTCCTTCCTTCTCTCTATCTTGCATGCTCACTTGTCTTTCCACCTTCTGCCATGGGATGATGCAGCATGAAGGCCCTTGCAAGATGCCAGCATCATGCTCATGGACTTCCCAACCTCCAGAACCATATGCCAAATAAGCTTCTATCATTTATACATTACCCAGTCTGTGATATTCTGTTATAACATCAGAAAATGGACTAAGACATATTACCTGTCAGATTGCATTAAAGGATCCAAAATGAGTTTCTGCATTCTTTGGGAGATGTAAAAAGGCGTTTCAGAATTTCCCTAAACTAGCCCCCAGTACCCAAAGGGCCCTCTTCAATGCGGGGACTAAGTTTAACCAGGTGAGTTTCAGCTTTTCTGTATCTGAAGAGCCCATCCTCTGAAGAGCCTGAAGTCCTCTGAAATTCTGCTGGATCTTATTGTGATTGTTTTTAGAGACTTTCAGAGGTGAACAGCAGCATCACCTCAACTCCTCTCCTGGAGTTGACCCTGACCCCTGACAGCAGCATCCTCTCGTCAGCTCTTGTGATGCTTGGAGATGACCTCTCAGAGCTCTGCTTGGGCAGGAGGTGGATGGATTTGTTTAGGCAGGCGTGGAGGTGGGTTGGAGTAGGCGATTTTGGTCTGTCTGTGCGCTCCATCCTATGTGGCCTTGACTCGGAGGTGGTTTGGCATCATATCAGTCAGAGGCTTTGACTATAAGGGAAAAAGGGAAATTACAGGAAGGCTATCAGGGGTTCACAGAGTTGTTGGGGGTTAGAAAAGCAGGCTTGGAAAGTGACCAGGAGTGACGCAAAGAGCACAAAGGCGTTTTATCTGGGTCAGGCTGACCCCAAATTGCTGCCCCTGCTCCCAGCCTCCAGAGCACTGTCACCATTGCCATCAGACATACTACCTCTTCCTCAAATGCCCCTGAACTGGCCCTTTGCTTCGGTCACTCATTCCAGCCTCAAAATCCCTGGTAGGAATGGCTGATTAGCTGAGCCTAGGTCACGTTCCCAGGCCTGCTCAGTGTGGCGGAGGTCAAAAAGAGAACCTCCTCATTTCCATTTCTGGAGGTGGTTGGAGATGGGGAGGGACTGCATTTATCCCATACCGCACAATGGGGAGTTGTCCCAGATGATTAAGGGAGTTAATGCTGGACAATCAAAAACTCCTGATGGATTTCTACTCTGAAGAGCATCTGGGGCATGTTTGATGTTGTACAGACAGCAGACCCTACCCACTACTTCATTCATGGTGCCTGGTTGGAGACTGAGGAAGCCAGGCACCACCATCATAAATCCTCAGACCTCATCACGAAATACCTGATGGTTCTGGAGATAAGTACCTGCTGCCTGGGCCTCTTGGTAGGCCTTGCTGCCCTGGGGCTGGTATGGGGCTGGAGCGGATCCACAGCCAGACACTTTATGAGGCAACCAGAAGAGAGGTTAGAAACATGGAGATGCCAGCCTTCCCCACATGTCAGTCTGGGAGAAGCATGGCGGAGGATAATCCCAGGAGTTAACTGGCAAAGGAACAAAGGAAGAGGCATGATCACTTGTACTGGGAGTCAAGACCATGCCCTGGGTGATACCCCCTATTCCCCAATAACAAGCAATTAACATTTGTGTGAGGTTCCTATTTTTTAGGCACCTTCCTGTATGTTTGACAAAAAAAGGGTTTTTTTGTTTGTTTGTTTGTTTGTTTGTTTGTTTGAGATGGAGTCCTGCTCTGTCACCAGGCTGGAGTGTAGTGGTGCTTTCTCGGCTCACTGCAATCTCCATCTCCTGGGTTCAAGTGATTCTCCTGTCTCAGCCTCCTGAGTAGCTGGGACTACAGGCACTTGCCACCATGCCCGGCTAATTTTTGTATTTTTAGTAGAGACAGGGTTTTACCATATTGGCCAGGCAGGTCTTGAATTCCTGACCTCAAGTGATCTGCCCGCCTCGGCCTCCCAAAGTGCTGGGATTACAGGCGTAAGCAACCGCACCCAGCCAAGAAAAGGATTTTAAATGGCGAAATAATAATATAGTAAATGTTTTCCTTAGGTTTGAATGAGGTTATACAAGATGGGGTCTTCTTGAGGGCAGGGACCACTTTTTTACTTGCCTTTGCCTCTCTGGTGTATAGCATAACAACTGGGGGATGATTAAGTGCTCAGTAACTGTTTATTGGATGAACGAAGACTAGCAATTGTGTGAGAACCAATGTCATTAAGTTGATACTTAGGGGCAGGTTGAGCAGCTGTGGTTGGGCTGCTTGGTTGAGACAAGGTTGAAATTCTTCAAGATATGGGGCTTATTGAGGGGTTAGGTTGCAGACCAAGCACTCCAGGCTGAGAGGTGATTGCTATGTGTTCACCAACCTCCATTTCCTTTTCCTTTTGGGCACATGGCTAGATTACATTTCCCAGCCTCTCTTGTAGTTTGCTGGGGCATGTGACTCAGTCCCGACCAGTGGGATGCAGGTGAAAGTGCCGTATACCACCTCTGGTCCTGGTTCCTAAAAGTGTCCCCTGTGATCCATCACTCTCTCTGGTCTTTCATCTGCTGGCTGTACACTGAGGATGTAGTGGGGGATTCCAAGTCTTAGGAGATAACAGAGCCACTAGGGAAAGGGCTTGGGTCCCTGAATGACTATATGGAGCAGAGTTCCTCACCTTTGATTTCTCATTGATCTGTGACAGAAGTAAGAAATTAACCTGTATTGTGTTAAGCCACTGAGATTTTTGGTTGTCACAGAGTGGTCATTAGCTACCCTACTACAGGACAACTCATTTTAATCTGGGGAGGGAGAGAGTGGTGCTAAGTATTGCTAGTTATGGCAGAGGCCTGGCTGCAATTTTCCTCCCCTAAACTGAAAACAAACAGATGTGCTCACAGACATAGAGAAGTTAGGAGAGAGAGAACCAATTGTCAGGGAGGACTTGGGACCCTTCTAAGCTTGAAGGTTTTAAGGTGACAGGGATATATCCAAGTGGACGTTCTGTGGGCCGGGCCTGAGATTTAGTTAGAATTTGTCCTCAGAGAAGTGGTCACTGAAGCCATAAGAGAAATGGCCTACTTGAGGAAGAGCTTATGAAGGGAAAATGGTGTGGCATCCAGGACTGAGTCCTGGTGACTTTCCAGAGTTAGAAGATGGCAGGAGGGGGAGGAGGAGCTGGTGAAGGTGCCATCTGAGCAGTAGGAGGAGATGCCTGTAGAGACACACCAGCCAAGGGTGGAGGAAGATTCCAGTAGTAGGTGGGGATCACATACAGAAGAGATTAGACCTTGGATATTGAAGAGACTCAGAAAGGACCTTCCTTCTCCAAGGACCGAGATGAATGGAGAGAAAAGGCCACATGTGAGGGTGGAAATATGGAGGAGATAAGAGGAGAAGCCAACCTTCTCTACAAAATGATAGAGCTGCTGGCTTGTGATTGGCAGGCAATTGTATCATTGTAGCTGGGTGATCTTGCTTTGCTATGGCTGCAAACTGAGCTCTCCAGGCATTGGTCTGAGTGATTTGCACCAGAGGGTGGGGAATAGGGGAGTTGCTTTGGTATTCTGGTGTCTGGAGCTTGAGATAGGGGAGAGAGAAGGGCAAAGGAGGGGTAGCATGAGATCCCTGTGAGCAGAAAGGGGCCAGGACTCAGCTGAACTTGGGCATAATTGCATGACTTAGCTAAATTTGGGTATAACAGCTAATGTGACTTCATCTTGTATGCAGAATCTGGTGAGGTTACACAAGTTAAACTCCACAGTTCCTTTGGTCATATGGGTATATAACACAGGCAGGCTGTTCTACCAGAGAACCCCCCAGTGTGGGTTTGGGCATACTTAATTTTACTAAGCTTTACTTTCTTTATCTGTAAAATGGGCCTTAAATAATTCCTACCTCAAAGGGCAATTGGTAGTATTAAATTCAGTAACATTCAATAGTGCATATAAAACACCTGATGCAGAGTAAAAGACTCAGTGAAAGTAGCTCAGTCTTATTTTATAGCTTGACTTTAGGAGCTCTGACATTTTGCATAGAACTTTGCCTTGTACAAAAAGCTTTCACATATGTTATATCAAATAATCCTTTGGCTCTGAGCTTTCATCCTTTTTTAAAATTCACACAGTAATGGGGGCATGCTGATTTAAAAAATGAAGAAATTCATAGTGGCTCCAAGTAACTTCTTCTAAGATCCAATTCAGTAGGAAAGAGAGCATCTGTTTCCCCACAGACCAAAGTTTAGGCCTGGCTGTCATTGGTTCAGATGGACGGTGTTTCTATCCTCCAACCAGTTGCTGTGGTGAGGAGAATGGAGTGCGTTGATTGGTTGAGTCCTAGGTTTGTGCTCTACTCTGAGGCCAGGAGAGGCCTCCATCTGAAGCTTTGGGAATGGGAGTGGGGTACCATGTTCTGTAGGGGAAATCAGGGCATCATTCCTGAAGATAGCATGAATGGAAGCTGGGTAGCAACAACAGCAGATATTCCTGAGTGTCAATGCTTGTCCAGAAGGGTGGGGTCTCCATCAGGTTCTCCAATCATATGCTTTCCTATTCCTCTAGTACAGAAATGTACCATGAACAGTCTTTGGTTCTCAGCTTTGGGTAAGGGCTGGAAAATCTCACAGCTGCAGCTGCCTTGACATCAGAGAGCGTAAAAGGACAAGGGCCTAGTATACAGAGGGATAAAGGATGTGACCTGGGGTCTGTCACAAACATTTTTAAGGCAGTTATGTGTGCCAGGCTCTGTGTTAAGTGCTTTCCTGGATGAGCCCGTTTTATTATCCTATGGCCAATGCCAAGGTAGGCATTGGCACTAATTTCCACATTGCAGGGGAGAAAACTGAGGCACATTCACAGAGGTTAAGAATTTTTTTTTTTTTTTTTTGTAGAGACGGGATTTCACCATGTTGCCCAGGCTGTTCTTGAACTCCTGCCCTCAAGTAATCCTCCCGCCTCAGCTTCCCAAAGTGCTGAGATTACAGGCAAGAACCTCTGTGCCCGGCTATAAGGGTAAGAAATTTTCCCACTCAAGGACACATGCCAGTAAGTGCCAGATCAAGAATTTGATCTGAATCATTTAATTTTTAGACTTCAAAAGACTGACAACCCAGGAGAAACTGAGGCAGCACTGGCTGTTGGGAGAGGAGCCTCTCAGAAGCACACATATAGGGGACTGCCGTTGGTTTGAGGCAGCTGGAAACAATCTTTAATAAGCAGCCCTCAGGACAACCAGTGACTCCTTTGCAGCAGGTGAGGGAGGGGCTTCTGGGAAATTCATTCGAACCACACCAACTCTCTTTAAGGTGGAGATGGATAATGGCAACCCACCCTCTCTTCCCTTCCCCATCACCTCCTGCTCTGTGTTAAGGCACAGCCAGGCTTCCCAGTGAACCTCCTACTCTCAAATGAGCCCTCTCACCTCTGGAGGGGCTGGTGGCCGTTGCTCCGTGGCCTCCTTCAGGGAGGCCTTACCTGGCCCTCCAGCCTAGATGGTGGCCTCTCATTGCCTTGGCCTCCTTGATTATTTTCCCTTAGCATCTGACATATATTGTTTATGTGTTATCTGCCTCTCTCAGTGGAATGGAAGCTCCAGAAGAACAGGATTTCACTTTGTTCAGAGTTGTATCCCTAGTGCCTAGAACAGTACTTGGCACATAGTAAATGCTAGTAAATATTTGTAGAATGCATGCCTGTTTCCCATCCAAGTACTAACCAGGCCCGACCCTGCTTAGCTTAGGAGGCTGAGGCAGGGGAATTGCTTGAACCAGGGAGGTGGAGGTTGCAGTGAGCTGAGATCACCCCACTGCACTCCAGCCCAGGCGACAGCAAGACTCCATCTCAAAAAAAAAAAAAAAAAAAAAAAAAAAAAAAATGCATGCCTGTTTCCCAGGCACTGTGCAATTTTTGCCTATACTATCTCACTGAATCCTCAGAGGTCTGTGGTTTGTCCGCAGTGGGCCCTAGAACCAATTTCGGTGGGTAGAGCAGAGGCCTGAGCTCCCTGCCTGCCCCCATTCCCCTAACGGGCTGGTGTAAGAAGTCTTAAGGAAAGACCCACCAGGGTTAATAGGCTGTGAAATTCACAAAGCCAGGTGTTCAGGGGGTTTCACCCTGGCTGTTGTTAAGGGCACCATCTGATTGCGGCAGCTTCACACCTTCCTTAGTGTGTACGTCTTCGGGGGTACAGGACAATCACAGCTCCCAGGACCTTCTTTTCAGAAATTAGCAACGTGCCAAAGAGGAGAGAACCGTCCGTGGAGGATCTGGAGGGACGTTGGGGTGGGGGATTTGAGGGCAGTGGGCCCAAGTGGGGAGAGGGCCTTTTTGGCCTCCTTTCCTCTCCTCCTCCATGCTTGCTCCTGGCCTCTACCACCTCCGTTTCAGAGGGAATGAGGGCTTCGGCCTGGCCAGAAGTTGCCCCGGGGAGAACTAGGGTGCTATGCCCACCTCTCAGTGAATGAGAGGTTCCTTTCCTTGGCCTTTTTAGATGACAAGAGGAAAATTTCACTATGTCCCACCCCGAGAGCTAATATAGCCTAATATAGCTAATATAAAACTATAAAGTTTTAAATGTATCATATATAATGATGACACATATGATATATTTAAAACTTTATAAAGTTTTATATGCTATATTTAAAACTTTATAAAGTTTTATATGATATATTTAAACTTTGGGGGCAAATAGTAGCCTCGAGTGGCTAACAGGATTTCTGGGATGAATTTCTGTGGTTCTGGAAAGGCAACAATGTTGACCTGCCATGGAATGCAGCCCCACTTCCCACCTCCTTCCCAATTTTGTCTGTAGTTTCGTTTTTTTTTCTTTTTGAGATGGGGTCTCACTCTATCACCCAGGTTGGAGTGCAGTGGTGTGATCTCTGTTCACTGCAACTCTGCCTTCCTTGCTCAAGTGATCCTCCTACCTCAGCCTCCACAAGTAGCTGGGACCACAGGCATGTGCCACCACACCTGGTTAATTTTATGTCTTTTTGGTAGAGATGGAGTTTCACCATATTGGCCAGGCTGGTCTTGAACTCCTGAGCTTAGGCGATCCACCCGCCTTGGCCTCCCAAAGTGCTGGGATTACAGGCATGAGACACTGTGCCTGGCCCTACTGCAATTTCCTTTTCCCTTGCTTGATCTTCCAATTCACTACTCATTTAAAATAACTCTTACTCATAGTCTTATTCAGAGTAAGTCTTAGACTCTTACTCAAAGTCGACTTGCTTTTTGGTTGATTAACAAGCCTACAACAAATATGTATTGAAGACCTCCTGGATGTACAGCCATGCCCACAACTGTGAGCAAGGCAGACGAAGCCCCTGCCTTCTCGGAGCTTATAATCTAGTGGCAGAATCATTTCCCAAGCCCACAATGCAGACCTAATTCTGTGTTCTTGGTGTATCCTGGTTTAACTTCTAGAAGTATGTGGCAGAAACACATCCACAACTTGTTAGAATTACAAAAATGTAACACAACCATCCGGAGGCCCTCCTCCCCATCCATAGCACCCCACACAACTCTCCTCCCTTCCTATTTTATCCTGGAGATTGCATTTCTGTGCTATGAATACCAGTACTTAGGAGGGGCTTTTTTCTGACTGTTGTGTGGCCAAGAACTGCCACCAGCAAACATTCTCAGGGGCTGCCCAGCACTATCTGCTTCAAGAGGGTGGATGCTGAGGACAAATCCATCCTCACTGTCATGCCAGCCCTGCTGTCTGGGCCTCCAGGGGTACAGAGTGGGCAGGCAGGGACAGAGAGAATGACCAGCCTGGTGACCCCCCCAGCTCCTCCTGCAGGGAGTGAACACTACTCTGTGGATTTGCTATGTGGTTTGGACACACTCCCCAAGCTTTCTGCCTTTTGTTATGATACCATCATCTGTTCCTCATAGTTTCGGGGTCTGGACCTCACTGTGTTTATACTCAGCATCACGAAGCCCGTGAGCTTGTGTATACAGGAGGCCACCAAATGTTTGGAGATAGAGGAGGGAGGTGAGAGTGTGCAGACATCTGCCTCCGCGGGAAGCAGATTCTCCTCTCACCTAGGAAACAGGTTGGAGGTTCTCAGCCCTGGGACTGGTGCTTCAGGGCCTGCGTGGACACGATGACAGTGTAGAGTGACTCAGGGCTGGTTGAGGGATGAAATCCTGGACATTCAGCCTGGAAGGGCCCTTTGATATAAATCTGGCCTGACCCTTCCCTTCCACAGAGTATTATGAGTTTCAGCATGGTGAGGTAACTTACCCTCGGCCCCACGGTCAGTGGAAGAGCTGGTCTGGAATTGAGGATGCCTGTGTCTTAATTCACTGTATTTCTATTTTATTTTATTATTTTATTTTATGATAGAGATGGGGTCTTGCTGTGTGGTCCAGGCTGGTCTTGAACTCCCGGCCTCAAGTGATCCTCCAGCCCAAGCCTACCAAAGTGCTGAGATTACAGGTGTGAGCCACCATAACTGGCCAACTCACTGCATTTCCATCCTCATTTTCTATTTAACCCACCAATAGTAATTTGATTTTATATAAATACATGTCTACATTTTCATGATCAAAAGTACAGGCAATATTTTTAATAAAAGGTTTAAATATCCCAAATAGCCTACAAAGAAAAGAATATAACTTTTCCCAATGACTGTATCACGTCCCCAGAGGGATCTTAGAACCCGATGTTCCTGAGTGCAAATCCCAACATGCAAACCCTGACCCTGCCCTACCAAATGGTGCTTTAATACTTGAACCAACTCTCACACTTTGGAGCTCTTTGCAGGGTATGTGTGTACATGTTTGTGTGTGCATGTTTGCACATATAGGCATTTTTGTTGTAATAATACTTGTTGCACCAATATTTCAAATGAATACAGAAGTGACCATTTTTGGAAGAATCTGCCCCTCTTTAGACGCTCAGGCATTAGACATTGTCAGTGGTGGTCAGTGTTCCCAGTTCTTGCTTTTTTGCATGTGTAGGTGATACTGGATAGGAAGAGCCTAGCTTTCTGTACCAGAAGCTCAATTATAAAGTGGTTATTGGAACTGGGAATACATTTTCTCATAAAAATAATGCGATTATACATGATGGCAGTGCGGTTTAGTTAATCCTTGAAACTTGCTTAACTCCATATACAGTTGAAATACTGCCCATTTAGACTTAATGCAAGTATGAAACCGTCTTTTTCACCATCAGTGCTTAAATGGAAAAATTATAAAACTAAATAAGACATTGTTTGTAATGATCACGAATGCTGGTGGTAGGGGTGAGCGGCTTTTATTAGAAGTGGAGGTAGGTGGTGACTTTGCAAGGATGAGATGAGATATTCTAAGGGCTTTGGATGGGGATGGTCCCAGATCTTGAGCATGGTTCATTTGACTTTTACGCTTTGGCTTTCTCTTCCTTCTCTTAGGCTTCATTAGCTCCACTGATAATCAGATGTGATTAGGGTTTGGGATTTTGCTCACCAATGGAATAGAGTGAAGGGAGAAAAAGGGAAACATTTTTTCCTCTTGAGATCAGTAGGTGTGAGTTGGAATACAGCAGACAAAGAAACTGCCTATGTATGGACTCAGGGACGCCCTTAGGGTGAGATTATTTCTTGCGGGGAGGAGAAAGGAAGCAGGAGACAGCTGATACACAGGCCCACGCATGCAGCTTATGCCCAATGGTCTGTGGGGGTCACTAATAGTGCAGAGCCCTGCATGCTCCCTGTTTCTGATGAAAGTGAGAGTCACCTCAAATCAACATGTCAATACCATTCAATCAGCCCAATCCCATGCCATCCCATGGAAGAAATATCCTGCCAGCCAGAAGGAAAGATCTGATTGCCCTGACATTTTCCTGGAACCCGGACCCAGCCGGGCCCCAGAACAACTCCATGGACACGAATCCCAGAATCCTTCAGGGCACCTGGGGGAGTGGATAGGAAGAGAGGGACTTAGAAATTTTGAATGAGGCCTGAGCTCCACTTTCTGAAGGCAGTACTGTGTGAGAGAGAGCTGTTCTTAGATGGGCCCATTAGGCCTCGAAAAGGAGAAAAGGAAAGAACTTGACATTACAAGTGTTCCCTGTAAGAGAAGAAAGGGGATGATGAAGAGGCATGATCACCTCCCTGTACCACCCGCCAGTGACACTGACCCTACCCTGGCTTAGCTAAAGTTAAACAAATGGAGTGGTAGTGAACTGACATCCCAAATGCTGGTTTGGGAGGAAACAACCACAGACTCATTCATTGTGCTCATGGTGCTTATAAATACCTGGTTTAGGGAATTAAATGTTGATGAAGATTATCTAGGGGCTTATACAGTCTATCCAGCCCCTTAGTTCTTAAAATTTATCATTGAATCACATCAGCTATAGGTCGGAACCATGTGGTTTCAGTCTTCCGTGGAGATGATTTTAATCAGCTATGTGTGTGTGTGTGTGTGTGTGTGTATATATATACATATATGTACATATATACATATATATGTATTTACTTTTATATATGTATACATACATATATGTGTGTATATATACACATATACACATATACGTATACACATATACACATATACGTATATACATATACACATATACATATATACATATACACATATACGTATATATACATATACACATATACGTATATACATATACACATATACGTATGTATATGTACACGTATACGTATACACGTATACACGCATACGTATATATACGTATATATATGTATTTACTTTTAAATAGCAACAGGGGTCTCTCTAGGTTGCTCAGACTGGTCTCCAACCCCTGAGCTCAGGTGATCCACCCACCTTGGCCTCCCAAAGTGCTGGGATCATGAGCCACCGCACCAGGTCATGTTTTTTTGTTTTTGTTTTTGTTTTTTCGATTGAGACAGGTCTCACTCTGTTGCCCAGGCTGGAGTGCAGTAGTGCAATCACAGCTCGCTGCAGCTTCAACCTCCCTGAGCTCAGGTGATTCTCCCATCTCACTCCCGCCCAAGTAGCTGAGACCACAGGTGTGCGCCTCCATGCCCAGCTAATTTTTATAATTTTTGTAGAGATGGGGTTTCGCCATGTTGCCGAGGCTGGTCTTGAACTCCTGATCTCAAGTGATCCTCCCACCTTGGCCTCCCAAAGTGCTGGGATTACAGGCATGAGCCACTGCGTCTGCCAAGAGATGTTTTAAGAGACAAAATTATGGGATTTCTTGTCATATTTATGGTTACAGTGTTGTTTTCTTTATGGGGATCAATGGAATAAATTTCTCTTTCTTCATTCCGGGAATAGTTATGCTTCTCCTAAACACCTGGCTTTTAGTTTATGGACCCTATAAACCATACAACTGACCATGCCTCCTTTTTTTTTCTTTTTTGCTCTACCCACTAGGAAGCTCATATTTAAATTTGAAGTTACATCTTGAGCAAATGTATAGCCCCTCACAACCGACAGAGCCAAAATGTCACTCTTAGCATTTTCATTTTATTTTTTCTTTCTTGCTCCTCTTTTTCCTTTATTTCATTTACCTATTGTTTTGCTTTCATTATATTTCATATACATATATATATATATATATTTTTTCTTTTTCTACTTTTTTTTTTTTTTTAACTGAGAGAGGGTCTCACTGTGTTGCCCAGGCTGGTCTTGAACTCCTGGGCTCAACTGATCCTTCTGCCTCGGCCTCCCAAAGTGCTGGGATTACAGGCGTGAGCCACCACACCCAGCCTATATTTCATATGTTTTAAAAAGCAATCTTAAATTATTCGGGGAACAAGGTGGTTAAATAAATAAATACAAAGGTGGCAATGGGGCACTGGCTCACACAAACCCAGTTGCTGAGTGTGGTTGGGTGGCTTTGAACAACAGGCTATTCATAAGTACAGGAAATTTGCAAGACCGATGTTAGAAACTCTGGAAGTACCTGCACTATTTATAGTTGCATTTTTAAACAAATTCTTGAATCTGAGTGGTGAATATGTGCCATTCTCACTGGAAAGGTAATTATTAAATTCCTTAGTAGTCCATTTGGCCAAGGTATAGAAGTACCTCTACGTTCAGGGGAACAAGCGGCTGGCAATTTCTTTCATCTAAGCAGAGCTGTTTTCTTTTTAAGGTTAATTCCACATATGTGCCCATTCAAAGATCAAAGTCCAAATACTTAGTCAAAACCACTGATTTTGCAAATCCTCAGCCAGTCTTGGACTAGATTTGCAACCACCAAGTACTGAAGAAAGCAAAATGAAATCAAACCAGACCCTTACAAAACACATGGTGTATCAAACATTTTTTTTTTCCTAGTTAGTACTCAATGCTGAACCCTGTCGCTCTTCAAATTATCCCTTTCTCCTTAACTGGGAAGAGAAACAATCAAAGATTAGAAAAGGCTTGAATGGGTCAAATAAGGGTGTTTATTTTCTGAATTACCTCTCTCAGTCTAAACATTCTTTCCATTTCTCCCTCTGTCATCTGGTCTCAAGAGGGAACGGCTGCATGGTGATGAGCCTACCTTTTTGCAGATGTTACAAGTGTGGGGTAAAGCTCAGCACTCTGGGGTGGGTACAGCATATGTGGGATTTGGAGCATAGGACGTAATCCAGGGTTTTCCTGGGGCTGCTTCCCCACCGGACCAGCTGGAGGCCAAATTGTGAAGAGGGAGAAGGGAAAAGATTGGTCCTGGTCCTTCAGCCATTCTTTTTTTTTTTTTTTTAGATGGAGTCTCATTCTCATTCTGTTGCCCAGGCTGGAGTGCAATGGCGTGACCTCAGCTTATTGCAACTTCCGCCTCCTTGGTTCAAGCGATTCTCTTGCCTCAGCCTCCGAGCAGCTGGGACTATTGGCAAGCGCCATCATGCCCAGCTAATTTTTGTATTTTTAGTAGAGACGGGGTTTCACCTTGTTGGCCAGGCTAGTCTCAAACTCCTGACCTCAAGTGATCCACCTGCCTCGGCCTCCCACAGTGTTGGGATTATAAGCGAGAGCTACCATGCCCAGCCCCTTCAGCCATCTTTTCCAATGAATCCTGACTCTCACCCGCTTAGACTCAAGGATGTCAAGATTATCTGGCACACATTTTAACAGTGCAGAAAATCAACCCAGAATATGGAGGGGAGTTTGAAAATCCCACTGTATTTGGAAAGAAAAGACTTTGGAAAAAAGAAAAAACCAACTTGTAACCTTCAAAAGAACATCTGTCTGGTTTTCCCTGTATGAGATATTGATGGAATTAATACACATTTGTACACACGCTTGCCTTAAAAAACAGCCCCTCAGAAATGCACAGTGGTTCTCCCTGAGTGGTAGAATTCCAGAGGATTGTTTTTTGTTTCTCTTGCTTGGCTCTACGGTCTGCTTTTTTCTCAATAGATGCAAATAACAATATAGTTGGATGCTAAGTGGGAGTCACATTCTAAAGTCAGTGTGTAAAGAAGAAAATCATATCCAGTAAAATTACTTGTGAAGATAACTTCTCTACTAACATAGCATATACATGGCTTTATGTGTCACAAAGTAGTTGCCTTGCATTTAGGGGTCAAGATATAGAAAAATACACATTTTATACATTAGAGCCCATTGAAAGGTGCCATAAGGTGCCAAGGTTTGTGGTAAATGAGACCAATTGGGGAAGCATCTGCCATCTTTTTTCCTCAGTCTTACTGTGGAGCCCATATTTACTGAGTGGAATGGCCCAAGGAAACATCTTCACTCTTCGTATCATTTTCTCTCTCTCTTTCTCTCTCTTTTCCCAGGATGTAGGGTGGAGACTTGTCTTAAAGCTGAGTTGCAAAGCCAGGCAATGTTTTTGTTTTTTTTTTTCTCGGAGGTGGAGTCTTGCTTTGTTGCTCAGGCTGGAGGGCAGTGCCACAATCTTGGCTCACTGCAGCCTCTGCCTCCCCAGCCTCAGCCTCCCCAGTAGCTGGGATTACAGGCATGCACCACCAGTATCATCATGTTGGCCAGGCTGGTCTCCAACTCCCGACCTCAAGTGATCCACCCACCTCGGCCTCCCAAAGTGCTGGGGTTATAGGCCTGAGCCCCCACGCCCAGCCCCAGGCAATGTTTTAACTTACATTGCATGTTGCAGATCAGTAAAAATTAGCAATGTATTCTAAGGGTGAATTTATTCCCACTTCACTAAGACTAAGGAAGACTTCAGGCATGAGGTGGTAGGGATGGGGTTGGTCGGCCTTTCCGGAGGCCATGCGAGTGCCTGCCACATTTGCTTGGCAATGCAGCCTGGAGGCTCTGGGCTGCTGTTGCAAGGCTCATCTGTGAGGATGATTCTGTTGCTTAACTATGGGTCATTTTCCTCTGTGGGGTCCTGCTCTGGCTAGGTTGGGGTGAGTGGCAGAAGAAGAGATTAGTCGCAGGGATGGAGTGGAAATGTTTTATTTATCCCTCTTCCTCACTCTCTCATCCTCAAATACACACAGGTCCCCATAAGACTGGCATGTCCCTGGGAAGTGTCTGGGGTCCCAGACAGAGGGAGCATTCACCCACCACTCAACACAGACTTATTGAGAACCTATTATGTGTGAGGCACTGGGGATATGTATTGAGTAATGTTCTATGACAGACCTTCATACTTATAGGTACAAACAGGGGTAAGTTCTCCAAGAATAAAAGGCAGCATTCTACGAGACTCTATAACCAAGGTCCTAATTTGGGCCATTTTGGGGAGAAGGCTTTAAGAGAAGGGCTCTCTGAAGAGCTGCCATTGAGGGGCTGTGAGATGAGAGAGTGTTAGCCAGAATGAGTGTGGGAGGGTGCATTCCCTCAGAGGGTAAAACATTTGTGTCACTTCCAGCCAAGGAGACATGACCCCCTCCCTCGCCAAGAGCAGAGGAAGCCCTTCTTAGCTAAAAATAAGTTTGTTGAGCCTCTGGGGGAAATCCTGCCACTGCCCAGAGAAAGACCCCTAGAAAGGTGATTTTGTGGCTCTAACCCTCTGCACCCACCCCACAGGATGTGTGGGGCTGGTGGTCCCCAAACTGCGGCTCCCGACCTTTCCAGCTAATTTTGCCTTCCTGAGAGTGTGTCTCCAGCACGGCTGGGCTCCCAAGCTGGGCGCCCGCCAGTCAGTCTGACCAGGGAAGGAACTATTTTGGGAATTTTTATGATGAAACAATATTTTTTTGGTAAACAAATGGAAAGCTGTTAAACAGAGCTGCTCACCCCTAGCTCCTGGTTCACCTTTCTCCAAGGGGAGGTGTCACAGAGGTGGCACTATCCAGTGGGGATACTGTCCCCTGGGCTCTCCCTCTCCAAGCACACACCCCATCATTTCTCCCAGGATAAATAGCTATGGCTCCCCACGTCCTGCCTTGGACTCCTTTTTTTTTTTTTTTTTTTTTTTTTCCTGGAGACAGGGTCTCACTGTGTCACTCAGGCTGGAGTGCAGTGGGGCACAATCTTGGCTCACTGCAGCCTTGACCTCCCTGGCTCAGGTGATCCTCCCACCTCAGCCTCCCCAGCAGCTGGGACAACACATGTGTGCCACCCATCTGGCTAATTTTTGTATTTTTTGTAGAGACAGGGTTTTGCTACATTGTCCAGGCTGGTCTCAAACTCCTGGACTCAAGCCATCCATCTGCCTCGGCTTCCAAAGTGCTGGGATTACAGGGGTGAGCCACTATACCCGGCTGCCTTGGCCTCCTTGAAAACAAAACTTTGGTGCAGTTTGGGATCGTGGGGGGGCTGGGCCCAGCCTGATTGGCTTCCTCCAGGCCTGAGATGGACCGGACTTAGAATGTTAGCATCGGAAGGGCCCTTAGAGAACATCTGCCACCCCTTACTGACCCCCTTCACAGGTGAGGGGATCAAGGCCCAGAGAGGGGAGACCAGTTTCCCAAGGTCATATAGCTTATCAGTCGCAAATGGGGTTGAAGCCTCAGATGTCAGACTCCTGGCCCTGTTCTCTTTCTTCAGAAATAACGAGCCAAGCTAGTGGTCAAAAAAAAGAAACAATAGATTCCACTTTCAGTATTTTGTAGAGCACCTACAACTATACACTAAGAGCAAATCATAAGTCTGCTAAGTCTCTGAGCAATGACCGCACTCTCAACCTCACCTGGAAGAAGGCTCTCCTTCCGGGACTGGCCTGGCCTCTCCGGAGATGGCTGCCTCAGCCTACCTGTGCACTTGCCTCTGATTGGCTGCTGTGGAGACTGGGGCTGCGTTAGCCAGGGCACCTCTCCTTGGTGCCAGGAGACCACCCCTGCCCAAGCCTCGTTCCTCCAGTGGTTTCATCACCTCTTGTTCTACCCAATGGCCCCCAGCCATCCACAGCTTCCAGGGCTTGGTTTTCTCAGCTGGACCATGATCCTATTTTTATGTTTGAGCTCAGAGAACATGATTAATGCCCTCTACTGAAAACAGGATTGATGCATCACCTTCTCCTACTGATGGATCAAATGGGGCTGCTGTAAAAATAGTAATAATAGCTACCCCTTATTGAGTCCCCACTGGGCTCTTATAGACGTCTCATTTCATACTCACAGCAGCTCTGCGTGGTAGAGGTTATTTGTCCCACTTTACAAATGAAGTTACTGAATGCCAGAGAAGTCCAAGTTCACATGATCAATGAGTAAGTAGTAGCATTGGGATTCACCCAGCTCTGTCTGGCTTGAATCCTACAGTTCTCCCCATCAGGCAGCCTCCAAGTATGAGACAAAGAGAATCTGGCCAGGAACATGTAGCAGCAGAAGGGACAAATGTGAGTTTCAACAGATTAAACATTAGGGTTAAAGGAAAGAGACAAACAGAACATGTCACCTGAGTTTTGAATCTTTTATTACTCTAGAGTCTTTCATTTTTGAGTGACAGAACCCAACTCAATTCAGCTCAAGTAAAAGAGAGCTTGTCTTTATGAGTGTACCTGGGAAGTTCAGGGTTGCAGCTGGCTTTAGGAACAGCTGGATCCAGGGCACGGTCTTTCTCTTTCTCTTTCTGCTTGACTTTATTCTTCAGACAGGCTTTCTCCACATCATGGAATCAATGGTTGCTGGCAGTCCCAGACTCTCACCTCCCAGCAGAAAGGACCCTGTTTTTTCCCGCAAACTTTGGTGAGAAAATTCCAGGAAGGACTCCAATTGGCTGGCTTAGTCTTGTGCCCATTTCTGAGAATCACCATGGCCAGGTGCATGGAGGACTCTGGGCTGCGGGAGGGGCATGTGCCACATGGAATGTGCTCCCCAAAGGGAAAAGGAGCTTTGGTATCTGATGAAGGGGAGAAAGGGTTCTGGAAAGACAGAAACGAAGATTCCTCTAGGCTGGGAGACTGGGATGTTGGCATCACTGATGGTCAGAGGGAGGAGATAGGAGGAATGGTTACTTAGTAATAATAATACTAATTATAACAACAGTCATAAGCAACATGTATTACTTTACAGCTTACAAAGCCCTTTCACATACCTTATTTAATCCTCATCCAATCTGGAAGGTAGGCAGAACAGAGGTTGTTACTGACCTCATTTTACAGATGAAGGGATAGTTTCGGAGAGGATAAAAGATGGGCTCATGGCTGGTAGGTAGCAAGTCTGGGACTCAGATGGACTCACAGTCATGTTCTCTGAATCCAGGTACAGGAGAGAAGACATGCTGAGCCTGTAATACCTGGTGTCCTCAAGGCAGATGCTACTCTCAAGGTAACAAGCACAGCTGAGCATGTCACTTTGGGGTCATTTAGCTTAGTGTGGTCCCTGGATAGGTTTTAAGTGCCACGAGGACAGGGACCTTATCTGTCTAGTTCACTAGTCTACCTTAGTGCCAAGCAGGTGTGGGGTTTGGAGACCAGAACTGTAGGCAAGGACTGAGCCTTGGAGGGTGAGTGTGGGGAGAGAAAATGAGGAGGAGGAGCCCAAAATGCAGCTTGGTTGGCCCAAGCTCTAGAGAACCTTTGCCAAATGCACTGCCAACCTCGGCATCTGCTGGGCAGACCAAGCTGGCCATATAGGATCTATAGACTGAAACCCCCCGGTCAGTGCAACTGAACTGGGTTAGCACCAGATATGCCCTACTTTGTGGTTCCTGTCTTTGCTGTATCTGACTCTGCTTCTCTGGGTAGATGTACTATTTGCATTTTAATTAAATTCAAGTCAATCAAACTCCACTTTTTGAACAACCAACTACATGCCAGGCATTGTGCTATGCTCCAGGGATATGGAGATAAGTAAGACACAATTTCTGCCGTTCTAAGGGCAACTCATTCATTAAGCCCCCATTATCTCCCAGGTACTTACTGTGTTAAGCACTGGGTATACAAGATTAGGTGAAATTCTTATTCTAGGTTGTAGGAGATGACCCAGATTTATGCCCAATTGATCCTAATACAAAGTGATAGTGATTTGATCTGCATATAAAAAAGTGTTTGGGGATTAGGGAGATAGAACGACTACTTTTTGTTTGGGAAACACAGGGCACTCTTGAGAAAGAGATGTTATCTGAACTAGATTAGCAGAGCAAAGGAAAAAGGTAAGTGTGTACATGGCTTGCTTAGAACGTGAAAGGGGAACTGTTTGGAGTGGGGAGAGGTGGCTCACTGGGGGAGGTGGTGGGAAGGAGGCTAAGCTTAAAAACCAGTCAAGCAGTTTTTCACTTTATCTTTTGATGCCCTGGTCTCTTGGAATGGAAATCTTTGCCTGGTGTAGGTGTCTGTGTTTTGCCATCCAGTCATCTGTTGGTTTCACACTTTGTTCTACAAGGAAGCCTGTTGCTTTTTAAGATGTAAGCTCCTAGTGGGCAAGGCTAGTTTCCATGCTTTTTTGTTTGTTTGTTTTCTTTTTTTATTGTTGTTCTGAGCCCAGTACAACACGGATCTTAAGCAGATTCCCTGCACTGCTGTGGTCCAGGTGTGTCAAAGGGAGATCACGGCTGCAAGCTCTGCTGAGTGACTAGGGAGCAGATGCTGGGACACTCAGAGGCTGCTAAAACCAAGCACCTTGGGCTTCCTCATCTACCAGCTGTGGAGTTGTCATGACTTATGTGCTGCAGTGGGCTGGTTGTCCACTGATATCCATTTCCCCCTCCATTTGATAACAGAACTCCAGAGTGGGAGCTGGACAGAAGGCCACCCAACCTCCTTTGTTATTGGGTCTGTCCATGTGACAATGTCTCAGCCACTGAGGGATCAGAAGAAACACACGTTTGAGTGTGGCCCAAAAAAGGAGTGTATGGCTGCTTCTCTTCCCATTTCTCGTTCTTACTGGGGGGATGAGGACCACTGGAGAAGCCACCTTGGATGCAGCAATGGAAGCCTGCATTGAAGATGGCAGAGCCACCCTAATAGCCTGGACCACCTACCTGTGGGCTGGTGTATTTCTTTTATAAAAAATTTTTTTTTGTAGAGACAGGGTCTCTCTTTATTGACCAGGCTGGTCTCAAATTCCTAGCCTCCAGTGATCCTCCTGTCTTGGCCTCCCAAAGTGCTGGGATTACAGGCGTGAGCCACCATGCCAGCCGGCTTGTGTATTTTAAGCCTCTTTCTTACAGCTTAGTTTGTACCAAAATCTGTTTAGTAGAAGGAACCTTAGATGACTAGTGCTTTGTCCTGCAGTCTCACAAAAGTCACCCTATTTTTCCAGGCCTCAATTGCCACATCTGTCAGATGGGAATATTAATAACTCTTTACTCTCTCCATGGGAAACTTCTAGGAACTGCAGATGTGCTATGATTTGCAAAGAGTAGAAAGCAAGGTAAAGTGTGTGGGGAGGGTTTTCAGGGTGAGTGAGTGAGAATCTCCCATCAGAGTTTATCATGCAGCCATTTCCTCTTCAGGGGCTTTTGATTAGCTCAGTTAAATGTCTGGTCCAGCTAATCAGAGCCAAGGTAGGCCCTGTGGTGGTTCACCATCTCCCCAGACACAATTCTCCCCAGCCTTTCAAGTGCTCAGAAAACACAAAGTTTGTCTTGGCTGTAAGGGGTCAGACCTAAGGAAGTGATCCGGGTCGAAAAGCTTTTACACAATTGTAAGTAGTGGAATGTGCTGAACCCAGTTGAACCTCATTAAAATGCCACAGTGGGTTGAGTGTTCATGTTTCATGTTCGTGATGTTTGAATGTTTAAATTCACATGAAAAATGTAAGCAATGAGACGCAATAACTGGCAGGGTCTGGGCCACTATTTTAGGCAGACGGCTACCTGATGGTGTTAGCAGTGTTGACAGAACACATTGACTCTGAAGGACATGGTGGGGTTTCAGCTCAGGCAGGATCTGCACGTGGCTTGTAGATGTTTCCCACTCGGCTAAGCCACCATGAACAGGATTTGGCTTTTCTTATGCAACCCTGTCCTGTGCTTAACACACACCTGTTTGATTTGTGATACATGAAGGATAGAGCCAGTGGGATCTGGGAAAGAGGGGCAAAGAGCAGTTTGAGAATGTCTTGGGGAAATTGAATGAAGAAGGAAAAAAAGGAAGGGCGTTCAGGCAAGAAATAAGACAATGTGTTGGAAGATTGGGAACAAATTTCTTAAATATCTCACAGTAGAAGAATAATAAATTATGGCCCAATTACTCATTCCATTCATTTAAAAACACATATTGTCTACCGTACACCAGGTTCCAGTGTTCCTAGGTTCAGGGACAAAATCCTGCACTTCATATTATGCACTATTTAAAATGATAGTTATGAAGCTTACATAACAACATGGAAAATGCTTATGATATAAATTTAGCAGAAGATACGAGGGTCAAATTAGTGTACACTGTGATGACAGACTGAAAAAAACAGATGCAGAGGAGAATGAAGTGAGAAACTATGGCAAAAAGTAATGATTGATTGTGTTAGGGTGGTGGGGTTTTGGGGCAACCTTTCTGAATTTCCCAAACTTTCAGTACTGTAGTCGTATTGCATTCGTAAGTCTAAAAAAAGTGTTGTTGTTTTTTCTTAAATAAGAAGGGGCATTATCCAACCAACTGACCCTCCCATATTAACCACCCTGCCACAGTAGCCTTTGAGAAGAACTTCACAATGGAGAAGCTCCTTCTCCTGTGCCAACCCAATTGCTGACATTCTCCAGTTAGCAGGTCCCTGCTGCTGAGAGTCTCAATCATAGATATTAAAGTCTGGGAGGGGCCCAGAAAGTCAAAAGTGAATCCCTATTCTTGGTGATGGCAAGTTCAGCAGCAATCTAGTGGAAATGAAGAGGCCTCCAGTCCAACACAGTATGGGGGCTGGTATTTCCCCTGACTCTCAGAATCTGTGTGTCCATCTATTTGGGGTATGAGATGAAGGGCTTGGCCAGCTTCTTACCTTAGGAATGTATGCACCAGGCACTGCTGCCAAACCAAGCCTAAGACACTCACTGCTGTGCTTGATTCCTATGAAGTAAGCAACAGTTCTGTCTGCCTACTCCAAACAGACTTGTCCATGAATTTCCGATTAGCCTGCCTGGGGCATAACTCTGGGATGCAGCTTTGGAATCAGACAGATCTGAATTTTTAAAAATTTACAAACATTTAATTGAAGATCTACATGCACACAGTTAGAAAGATAAATGGCACAGAAGGACTTAAGTTAAAAATAGGCCTCCATCCCACTCCTTGGATTCAATCTTGCCTCCTGGAGGCAGTAGCTTTTAACTGTCTCAATTTCTGGTTATGCCAGTTTGCCTTCATATCTCTAAGCAATATGATAATTCTTCTCTGTTCCAGTAGGTCAGCTGGGGACATTATCTATTGTCTCCCTGCTCTGATAAAGTGGTGTCTTAGTCTGTTTTCTGCTGCTATAGCAGAATATCACAGACTATATAATTGATAAAGGCTCAATTTGGCTCATGATTCTGGAGGCTGGGAAGTCCAAGACTGAGGGGTTGCATTTGGTGAGGGCCTTCTTGCTGTGTCATAACATGGTAGAAGGCATCACATGGCAAGAGAGGGTAAGAGACAGTGAGAGAAAATGGGTTGAATTCATTCTTTTTTTTTTTAAATCAGGAACGGACTCCCATGCTAATGGCATTAATGCATTCATGATAGATGAGCCCTCATGACCTAATCGTCATCTTTTTTTATTTTTTATTTTTTTTGAGATGAAGTCTCGCTGTGTCACCCAAGCTGGAGTGCAGTGGTGCAATTTTGGCTCATTGCAACCTCTGCCTCCTGGGTTCAAGCTATTCCCCTGCCTCAGCC